>NC_000003.12:126584361-126735877 GCF_000001405.40 Homo sapiens
ATCTCGACTCTACAAAAAGTTTAAAAAAATTTAGCTGGGCATGGTGGTACATGCCTGTAGTCCCAGCTACTCAGAAGGCTGAGGCAGGAGGATCACTTGAGCCCAGGAGTTAGAAGTTACAGTAATCTATGACTGCACCACTATACAGCCTGGGCAACAGGGTGAGACCTCGTCTCTTTAAAAAAAATCAATTTTGAAGTATAATTTACATATAATAAAATGCACCAAATAGGTATTCATTTTGATTTATGACTGATTGATGAATCAACTAATTCATACAGTCCTGTAGCCATCACCACACTCAAGATAATGAACCTTCCTGTTACTCCAAGAAGTCCCATTGTGTCCCTTCCCAATAACTACTAACCCTTACCCCAGCCAACCACTGATTTGCTTTTTATCACTACATATTAGGTTGGTCTTTTCTAGAACTTCATACACGTATTATGAACATACACAAATAGTATGGACTTTTTTGGCTTCGTTTGGCATAATGATCTTGAGGTTCACCCATGTTACTGAATTTTGTCAGTGATCTACTCATTTTCATTGCCAAATAGTATTCCATTGTATGAATGTATTATGATGTATTTATCCAGTCACTTTCTGATGGACATGTGGGTTCTTTCCAATTTGAGGGCGTTATGAATAAAGCTGCCTTTCACACGAGTCTTTGTGTTTTACCTGGGAGTTAAATCATGGGGATATATAGTAAGAGTACATAGTAAGTTAAACATACATAGCAAGTGTATGTCTAACCTAACAAGGAACTGCAAAGTGGTTTCCTATTTCTACCCTTTATGTATGAAAGTTCTTGTTGCTCCACATTCTCACCAACGTTTAGTATTGTCAGTCTAAATGTAGCCACTTTTATGGGTGTGTTGTTGTATTTTACTGTATTTTTAATTTGAATTTCTCTATACTTAATGATGTTAAGCATCTTTTTATGTTGCTATTTTTGCTAAATGCACACTTTTATTGGCAAACATGAAACATCTGCTCAAATCTTTTACCCATTTTTTATTGGGTTCCTTGTCTTCTTATTGTTGACTGGTAAGGATTCTCTACATAATCCAAATACAAGCCCTTTGTTGGATCTATATTTTATAAATATTTTGCTCCTAGTCTGTGGCTTGCCTTTTTCTTTCATAAAAGCTCTCAATGACTTTTTCAAAATGTTGATGAAGTACATTTATCATTATTTTATTCTATAGTTCATAATTTCTGTATGTTATCTAATAAATCTTTGTCTACACCAAGATCATGAAGGTTTTCTCCTATGTTTTCTTCTAGAAGTTACAAACATACTTTGAAAACATTGGGAACTTGGTTCCAGACCACCACAATAAAGTAAGTATCACAATAAAGGGAGTCACATGAATTTTTTGGTTTCCAAGTGCATATAAAAGTTATGTTTATACTATCCTGTAGTCTGTTAAGTATATAATAGCATTATGTCTAAAAAACAATGTACATAATTAAAAATACTTTATTGCTAACAAATGCGAACAATCATCTGAGACTTCACCAAGTCACAATCTTTTTGCTGATGGAGGGTCTTACCTCGATGTTGATGGCTGCTGACTGACAGAGTGGTAGCTGCTAAAGACTGGGGTGGCTGTGGCAATTTATTTTTTATTTTATATATATATATTATACTTTTAAGTTCTAGGGTACATGTGCACAATGTGCAGGTTTGTTACATATGTATACATGTGCCATGTTGGTGTGCTGCACCCATTAATTCGTCATTTACATTAGGTATTTCTCCTAATGCTATCCCTCCCCCCTCCTCCCACCCCACGACAGGCCCCAGTGTGTGATGTTCCCCACCCTGTGTCCAAGTGTTCTCATTGTTCAACTCCCACCTATGAGTGAGAACATGTGGTGTTTGGTTTTCTGTCCTTGCAATAGTTTGCTCAGAATAATGGTTTCCAGCTTCATCCATGTCCCTACAAAGGACACGAACTCATCCTTTTTTATGGCTGCATAGTATTCCATGGTGTATATGTGCCACATTTTCTTGATCCAGTCTATCATTGATGGATATTTGGGTTGGTTCCAAGTCTTTGCTATTGTGAATAGTGCCACAATAAACATATGTGTGCATGTGTCTTTACAGCAGCATGATTTATAATCCTTTGGGCATACACCCAGTAATGGGATGGCTGGGTCAAATGTTATTTCTAGTTTTAGATCCCTGAGGAATCACCACACTGTCTTCCACAATGGTTGAACCAGTTTACAGTCCCATCAACACTGTAAAAGTGTTCCTATTTCTCCACATCTTCTCTAGCACCTGTAGTTTCCTGACTTTTTAATGATCGCCATTCTAACTGGTGTGAGATGGTATCTCATTGTGGTGTTGATTTGCATTTCTCTGATGGCCAGTGATGATGAGCATTTTTCCATGTGTCTGTTGGCTGCATAAATGTCTTCTTTTGAGAAGTGTCTGTTCATATCCTTTGCCCACTTTTTGATGGGGTTGTTTAATTTTTTCTTTTAAATTTGTTTAAGTTCTTTGTAGATTCTGGATATTAGCCCTTTGTCAGATGGAAAGATTGCAAAAATTTTCTCCCATTCTGTAGGCTGCCTGTTCACTCTGATGGTAGTTTCTTTTGCTCTTTAGTTTAATGAGATCCCATTTGTCTATTTTGGTTTTTGTTGCCATTGCTTTTGGTGTTTTAGTCATGAACTCCTTGCCCATGCCTATGTTCTGAATGGTATTGCCTAGGTTTTCTTCTAGGGTTTTTATGGTTTTAGGTCTAACATTTAAGTCTTTAATCCATCTTGAATTAATTTTTGTATAAGTGTAAGTAAGGGATCCAGTTTCAGCTTTCTACATATGGCTAGCCAGTTTTCCCAGCACCATTTATTAAATAAGGAATCCATTTCTTGTTTTTGTCAGGTTTGTCAAAGACCAGATGGTTGTAGATGTGTGGTATTATTTCTGAGGGCTCTGTTCTGTTCCACTGGTCTGTATCTCTGTTTTGGTACCAGTACCATGCTGTTTTGGTTACTGTAGCCTTGTAATATAGTTTGAAGTCAGGTAGCGTGATGCCTCTAGCTTCGTTCTTTTTGCTTAGGATTGTCTTGGCAATGTGGGCTCTTTTTTTCATTTCATATGAACTTTAAAGTAGTTTTTTCCAATTCTGTGAAGAAAGTCATTGGTAGCTTGATGGGGATGGCATTGAATCTATAAGTTACCTTGGGCAGTATGGCCATTTTCACGATATTGATTCTTCCTATCCATGAGCATGGAATGTTCTTCCATTTGTTTGTGTCCTCTTTTATTTCGTTGAGCAGTGGTTTGTAGTTCTCCTTGAAGAGGTCCTTCATATCCCTTGTAAGTTGGATTCCTAGGTATTTTATTCTCTTTGAAGCTATTGTGAATGGGAGTTCACTCATGATTTGGCTGTCTGTTATTGGTATATAAGAATGCTTGTGGTTTTTGCACATTCATTTTGTATCCTGAGACTTTGTTGAAGTTGCTTATCAGCTTAAGGAGATTTTGGGCTGAGACGATGGGGTTTTCTAAATATACAATCATGTCATCAACAAACAGGGACAATTTGACTTCCTCTTTTCCTAATTGAATACGCTTTATTTCTTTCTCTTGCCTGATTGCCCTGGCCAGAACTTCCAACACTATGTTGAATAGGAGTGGTGAGAGAGGGCATCCCTGTCTTGTGCCAGTTTTTAAAGGGAATGCTTCCAGTTTTTGCCCATTCAGTATGATATTGGCTGTGGGTTTGTCATAGATAGCTCTTATTATTTTGGGATATGTCCCATCAATACCTAGTTCATTGAGAGTTTTTAGCATGAAGGGCTGTTGAATTTTCTCAAAGGCCTTTTCTGCATCTATTGAGATAATCATGTGGTTTTTGTCTTTGGTTCTGTTTATATGATGGATTATGTTTATTGATTTGTGTATGTTGAACCAGCCTTGGATCCCAGGGATGATGCCAAACTTGATTGTGGTGGATAAGCTTTTTGATGTGCTGCTGGATTCGGTTTGCCAGTATTTTATTGAGGATTTTTGCATTGATGTTCATCAGGGATATTGGTCTAAAATTCTCTTTTTTTGTTGTGTCTCTGCTAGGCTTTGGTATCAGGATGATGCTGGCCTCATAACATGAATTAGGGAGGATTCCCTCTTTTTCTGTTGATTGGAATAGTTTCAGAAGGAATGGTACCAGCTCCTCTTTGTACCTCTGGTAGAATTCGGCTGTGAATCTCTCTCGTCCTGGACTTTTTGGTTGGTAGGCTATTAATTATTGCCTCAATTTTAGAGCTTGTTATTGGTCTACTCAGGGATTCAACTTCTTCCTGGTTTAGTCTTGAGAGGGTATATGTGTCCAGGAATTTATCCATTTCTTCTAGATTTTCTAGTTTATTTGCGTAGAGGTGTTTATAGTATTCTCTGATGGTGGTTTGCATTTCTGTGGGATCAGTAGTGATATCCCCTTTATCATTTTTATTGCATCAATTTGATTCTTCTTTCTTATTAGCCTTGCTAGCGGTCTATCAATTTTGTTGATCTTTTCAAAACAACCAGCTCCTGGATTCCTTGATTTTTTGAAGGTTTTTATTGTGTCTCTATCTCCTTCAGTTCTGCTCTGATCTTAATTATTTCTTGCCTTCTGCTAGCTTTTGAAAGTGTTTGCTCTTGCTTCTCTAGTTCTTTTAATTGTAATGTTAGGGTGTCAATTTTAGATCTTTCCTGCTTTCTTTTGTGGGCATTTAGTGTTATAAATTTCCCTCTACACACTGCTTTAAATGTGTCCCAGAAATTCTGGTATGTTGTGTTTCTGTTCTCGTTGGTTTCAAAGAACATCTTTATTTCTGCCTTCATTTTGTTATGTACCCAGTAGTCATTCAGGAGCAGGTTGTTCAGTTTCCATGTAGTTGTGCAGTTTTGAGTGAGTTTCTTAATCCTGAGTTCTACTTTGATTGCACTGTGGTCTGAGAGACAGTTTGTTATAACTTCTATTCTTTTACATTTGCTGAGCAGTGCTTTACTTCCAACTATGTGGTCAATTTTGGAATAAGGTGTGATGTGGTGCTGAGAAGTATGTATATTCTGTTGATTTGGGGTGGAGAGTTCTGTAGATGTCTATTAGGTCCACTTGGTGCAGAGCTGAATTCAAGTTCTGGATATCCTTGTTAACTTTCTGTCTCATTGATCTAATATTGACATTGGGGTGTTAAAGTCTCCCATTATTATTGTGTGGGAGTCTAAGTCTCTTTGTAGGTCTCTAAGGACTTGCTTTATGAATCTGGGTGCTGCTATATTGGGTGCATATATATTTAAGATAGTTAGCTCTTCTTGTTGAATTGATCCCTTTACCATTATGTAATGGCCTTCTTTGTCTCTTTTGATCTTTGTTGGTTTAAAGTCTGTTTTATCAGAGACTAGGATTGCAACCCCTGCTTCTTTTTGTTTTCCATTTGCTGGGTAGATCTTCCTCCATCCCTTTATTTTGAGCCTATGTGTGTCTCTGCATGTGAGATGGGTCTCCTGAATACAGCACACTGATGGGTCTTGACTCTTTATCCAATTTGCCAGTCTGTGTCTTTTAATTGGGGCATTTAGCCCATTTACATTTAGGTTAATATTGTTATGTGTGAAATTGATCCTGTCATTATGATGTTAGCTGGTTATTTTGCTCGTTAGTTGATGCAGTTTCTTCCTAGCATTGATGATCTTTACAATTTGGCATGTTTTTGCAGTGGCTGGTACCGGTTGTTCCTTTCCATGTTTAGTGCTTCCTTCAGGAGCTCTTGTAAGGCAGGCCTGGTGCTGACAAAATCTCTCAGCATTTGCTTGTCTGTGTGTTGTTTCTCCTTCACTTATGAAGCTTAGTTTGGCTGGATATGAAATTTTGGGTTGAAAATTATTTTCTTTAAGAATGTTGAATATTGGCCCCCACTCTCTTCTGGCTTGTAGAGTTTCTGCTGAGGGATCTGCTGTTAGTCTGATGGGCTTCCCTTTGTGCGTAACCCGACCTTTCTCTCTGGCTGCCCTTAACATTTTTTCCTTCACTTCAACCTTGGTGAATCTGACAATTATGTGTCTTGGGGTTGCTCTTCTGGAGGAGTATCTTTATGGCATTCTCTGTATTTCCTGAATTTGAATGTTGGCCTGTCTTGCTAGGTTGGGGAAGTTCTCCTGGATAATATCCTGAAGAGTGTTTTCTAACTTGGTTCCATTCTCCCCATCACTTTCAGGTACACCAATCAAACGTACATGTGGTCTTTTCACATAGTACCATATTTCTTGGAGGCTTTGTTTGATTCTTTTTACTCTTCTTTCTCTAAACTTCTCTTCTTGCTTCATTTCATTCATTTGATCTTCAATCACTGATAGCCTTTCTTCCACTTGATAGAATTGGCTACTGAAGCTTGTGCATGTGTCACGTAGTTCTCATGCCATGGTTTTCAGTTCCATCAGGTCATTTAAGGTCTTCTCTACATTGTTTATTCTAATTAGCCATTCGTCTAATCTTTTTACAAGGTTTTTAGCTTCTTTGCAATGGGTTCGAACATTCTCCTTTAGCTGAGAGAATTTTGTTGTTACTGATCTTCTGAAGCCTACTTCTGTCAACTCGTCAAAGTCACTCTCTGTCCAGCTTTCTTCCATTGCTGGCGATGAGCTGTGATCCTTTGGAGGAGAGGAAGCACTCTGCGTTTCAGAATTTTCAGCTTTTCTGATCTGGTTTCTCCTCATCTTTGTGGTTTTATTTACCTTTGGTCTTTGATAATGGTGACCTACAGATGGGGTTTTGGTGTGGATGTCCTTTTTGTTTTGTTGATGCTATTCCTTTCTGTTTGTTAGTTTTCCTTCTAACAGTCAGGACCCTCAGCTGCAAGTCTGTTGGAGTTTGCTGGAGGTCCACTCCAGACTCTGTTTGCCTGGGTATCACCAGCAGAGGCTGCAGAACAAATATTGCAGAACAGCAAATGTTGCTGCCTGATCCTTCCTCTGGAAGCTTCAGAGGATCCCAGAGGTGACCCAGAGGGCCACCCAGCTGTATGAGGTGTTAGTCGGCCCTTACTGGGAGGTATCTCCCAGTTAGGCTACTCAGGGGTCAGGGACCCACTTGAGGAGGCAGTCTGTCCGTTCTGAGATCTCAAACTCTGTGCTGGGAGAACCTCTGCTCTCTTCAAAGCTATCAGACAGGGACGTTTAAGTCTGCAGTAGTTTCTGCTGCCTTTTGTTCAGCTATGCCCTGCCCCCAAAGGTGGAGTCTACAGAGGCAGGGCTCCACCCATTTCAAGCTTCCTGGCCTCTTTGTTTACCTAGTCAAGCCTCAGCAATGGCAGACGCCCCTCTCCCAGCCTCACTGCTGCCTTGCAGTTCGATCTGGGACTGCTGTGCTAGCAGTGAGCAAGGCTCTGTGGGCGTGGGACCTGGGCTGTGGCAATTTCTTAATACAAGACAATGAAAGTTGCCACATCGATTGACTCTTTCACAAAAGGTTTCTCTGTAGCATGTGATGCTGTTTGATAGCATTTTACCCACAGTAGAACTTCTTTCAAAAGTGGAGTCAATCCTCTCAAATCCTGTTGCTGCTTTGTCAACCAATTTTGTGATCATTCTAAATCCTGTTATCATTTCAAAAATGTGCACAGCATCTTCACCAGGAGAAGATTCCATCTCAAGAAACCACTTTCATTGTTCATGCATAAGAAGCAATTCTTCATTTGTTCAAGATTGATCACGAGATTGCAGCAACTCAGTCACATCTTCAGGCTCCACTTCTAATTCTAGTTCTCTTGCTGTTTCCACCACATCTGCAGTGACTTCCTCCACTCAAGTCTTGAACCCTTCAGAGTCATCCAAGACGGTTGGAATCAGCTTCTTCCAAACTCCTGTTAATGTTTATTCTGATCTCCTCCCATGAATCATGAATGTTCTTAATGGTGTCAGAATGGTGAATCCTTTCCAGAAAGCTTTCAATTTACTTTGCCCAGATCCATCAGAAAGATCACTATCTATGGAAGTTATAACCTTATTAAATTTGTTTCTCAAACAGTAAGACTTGAAATTCAAAATTACTCCTTGATCCATGGGATCTATGGATGTTGGGTTAGCAGAGATGAAAACAACATTCATCTCCTTGTATATCTCCAGGAGGGCTTTTGGGCGGCCAGATGCATTGTCAATGAGCAGCTATATATATATATATATATATATATATATATATATATATATATATATATATTTTTTTTTTTTTTTTTTTTTTTTGAGACAGAGTCCCACTCTGTGACCCAGGCTGGAGTGCAGTGGCATGATCTTGGCTCACTAAAACCTCCGCCTCCTTGGTTCAAGCGATTCTCCTACCTCAGCCTCCTGAGTAGATGGGACTACAGGTGCCCCCCACCACGTCTGGCTAATTTTTGTATTTTTAGTAGAGACAGGGTTTCACCATGTTGGCCAGGCTAGTCTCGAACTCCTGACCTCAGATGATCCACCCACCTTGGCCTCCCAAAGTGCTGGGATTACAGGCCAAAGCCACTGTGCCTGGCCTCAATGAGCAGTAATATTTTGAAAGCAGTCTTTTCTCCTGAGCAGCAGGGCTCAACAGTGGGCTTAAAATATTCAGTAAAGCATGTTGTAAACAGATGTGCTGTTATCCAGGATTTATTATTATATTTCTAGAGTACTGGCAGAGTAGATTTAGCATAATTTTTAAGGGCTCTAGGATTTTCAGAATGGTAAATGAGCACTGACTTCAACTTAAAGTCGCCAGTGGTATTAACAAGAGTCAATCTGTCCCTTTGAAGCTTTGAAGCCAGGCATCAACTTCTTTCTAGCTGTGAAAGTCCTAGATAGCATCTTCTCTCAATATAAGACTGTTTTGCTTACATTGAAAATCTGCTGTTTACCACCTTCATCAATAATCTTGGCTAGATCTTCCAGATAACTTGCTGCAGCTTCTCCAACAGCACTTGCTTCACCTTGCACTTTTTTTTTTTTTTTTTTTTTGAGACGGAGTCTCACTCTGTTGCCCAGGCTGGAGTGCAGTGGCGTGATCTCGGCTCACTGAAAGCTCCACCTCCCGGGTTCAAGCCATTCTCCTGCCTCAGCCTCCCGAGTAGCTGGGACTACAGCACCCACCAGCATGCCCGGCTAATTTTTTGTATTTTTAGTAGAGACGGGGTTTTGCCATGTTAGCCAGGATGGTCTCAATCTCCTGACCTCGTGATTAGCCCGCCTCGGCCTCCCAAAGTGCTGGAATTACAGGAGTGAGCCACCGTGCCCGGCCACCTTGCACTTTTATGTTATGAAGACAGCTTCTGTACTTAAACCTTATGAACCAACCTCTGCTGGCTTAAAATCTTTCTTCTGCAGCTCCCTCACCTTTCTTAGCCTTCATAGAATTGAAGAGTTTGGGGCTTGCTCTGGATTAGGCTTTGAGGGAATGTTGTGGCTGATTTGATCTTCTATCCAAACCACTAAAACTTTCTCCATATGGGCAATAAGGTTATTTCACTTTCAGTGAAACATTCACGTGTTCACTTGTATAGCATTTTTAACTTCCTTCATAAACTTTTCCTTTGTATTCACAATTTGGCTATCTCTTTGGCACAAGAGGCCTCGCTCTCAGCCTATCTCAGCTTTTGACTTGCTGTCCTCACTGGGCCTAATCATTTCTAGCTTTTGATTTAAAGTGAGAGATGTACAACTCTTCCTTTCCTTTCACTTGAACACTTAGAGGCCACTGTAGGGTTATTAACTGGCCTAATTTCAATATTGCTGTGTCTCAGGGAATAGGGAGGCCTGAGGAGATAGAGAGGCACAGAGGAATGGCTGGTTGGTGCAGTCTGAAACTCTGAACTGGGTATTGGCAAGGACAGGTAGCTCTAGTTGAAGCCCTTCTACTGTTGACTTGAGCAATGGGAAAAGGGCTTCCTGATGCTCAGAGACAGTGGGAGAAATTCTGTTTTTGCTTTTTGTTTTTTTCCTTTTCTCTGCTCATGCTCAGCCCCCAAGCAATTCCATGGCAACGAGATTGGTAGCAGTGATGGCAGAGGCCTAAAACTCTGAGGGGAACCTTATCTCTGGAATGTAGGACAACCCCATTTTTTCCTCTCTCTGTCCTCCTGATACTGGGCCCTTAATGTGCAGAGTTGCATAAAGTGTGTGGCAGAGAGAGGTGAATAAAATCCCAGCTTTGGGGCTAGAAAAACAAAAAAAGGGAGTCCTAGGGAACTAGAAAATATTAGTGAGATTGCACAGAGGAAGGAACTTGGGAATGCAACCCCACAAAGTTGTTTATAAATCACTGATCTCACTCAAAGCTACACACCTATGGATATGACCCTAAACAGCACACTATAGGCCTTGAGAACTGAATTGTGGGACATTTCAAGTTGCAGAGAGAACACTGCGTGGCAGGACACTTTGAAAATGGAACTGACATTGAAACCAACCCCATACAATGCTCATAGGAACTTGCAGCCTGAACCCAATCAGGACAATTGCCTGATAAAACGAAAATGCCAACCTTTGCTATAAGATTTAAATAAGACCAAGAGACTTATAATATTCAAAATGTCTGGAATACAATATAAAATAATAGCATATGAAAAACCAAGATAATCTCCATTTGTGTAAGAAAGGACAATCAATAGACACCAGCACTGAGCTGATACAGATGTGAAATTAACTGATGAAAATATGAAAATGGCTCTTATAAAAATGTCCCTATCAGTAATAGAAAATATTCCTGAAATGAATAAAATAATAGAAAGGCTCAGGAAACAAACAAAAGATATAAATAACAACAAAATGGAAAATTTAGGACTGAAAAATGCAATAACCAATATTTTAATAAGCATCAGATAGACTCAATAGCAGAATGGATATGACAGATTAAAAAGTCTATGAACCTGAAGACAGATCAACAGAAATTATCCAATCTAAACAACTGGCAGGAAAAAAAATTAAACTTAATTGAGTTTCAGGGAACTGTGTGACAATAATATCTAGCCTTTTTGTCATCAGAGTCCCAGAAGAAGAGGAGAAAGGGTGCAGGGATAAAAATATATTTGAAGAACTAATGGCTGAAAATATCCCAATTTTGACACAGACATAAATCTAAGGATGCAAGAAACTCAGTGAACTCTAAATAGGATAAACCCAAAGAAATCTATATCTAAATACATCATGATAAAACTGGCACAAATGAAAGAGAGTCTTGAAAGCCACCAGAGAAAAGCAACACTTACTTATAAAGGGACAATTCAAATTACAGATTTCTCATTAGAAACCATGAAAGCTAAAAGGAAGTGGTACCACATTTTATAACTGCTGAAAGAAAACTGGCCAGGCACAGTGGCTTGCGCCTGTAATCCCAGCACTTTGGGAGGCCAAGGCGGGTGGATTACCTGAGGTCAGGAGTTCAAGACTAGCTTGGCCAATGTGGTGAAACCGTGTCTCTACTAAAAATAGAAAAATTAGCCAGGTGTGGTGGCACACGCCTGTAGTCCCAGCTTGTTCAGAAGGCTGAGGCAGGAGAATTGCTTGAACCCGGGAGGCAGAGGTTGCAGTGAGCCAAGATCGTGCCACTGCACTCTAGCCTGGGTGACAGAGTAAGACTCAGTCTCGAAAATAATAATAATTATTATTAACCCAGATTTCTACATCCAGCAAATTATCCATCGGAAAGCGTGAAATTTTTTAAAAATTAAGAGAATTTTTTTTTTTTTTTTTTTTTTTTGGCCACAAAGCTGGGATTTTTCACTGGGGTTGCACGGAATCCAAAAATCAATTTGAGCAGAAAGAAACATCTTAATAATATGGATTCTTCCAATCCAAAAATATGATATATCTTTATTTCATTTTACAATTTCTCAGCAATGTTTTATAGTTTTTCATATAAAGATCTTGCACATATTTTGTTAAAACTATGTCTAAGTATTTCATATTTATATGCTGTTGTACATGATATTGTAATCATCATATTTTCAATTCAATATGGTTTGTTGTTAGTTCTTAGAAATACAATTGATTGGCGAGTGTGGTGGCTCATGTCTGTAATCCCAGCACTTTGGGAGGCCGAGGTGGGTGGATCACGAGGTCAGGAGTTCAAGACCAGCCTGACCAACATGGTGAAACCCCGTCTCTACTAAAAATACAAAAATTAGCCGGGCGTGGTGGTGCATGCCTGTAATCTCAGCTACTCAGGAGGCTAAGGCAGGAGAATTGTGTGAACCCAGGAAGTGGAGGTTGCAGTGAGCTGAGATCACGCCACTGCACTCCAGCCTGGGCAACAGAGCAAGACTCCGTCTCAAAAAAAAAAAAAAAAGAATAAAACAAGAAATACAATTGATTTTTTATGTTAACTTTGTATTCTTCAACTTTTAAATTCATCTGGAAGTTCTGGTAGTTATTTCTGGCAGATTTCTTAGGATTTTCTATGTACACAATCATGTCATCAGCAAATAAGGACATTTAGGTCTCCCTTTCAAATTTGTGTGCTTTTTATTTATAGTTCCTGCACCACTTAACTGACTAGGACCTCCATTACAATGTTAAATAAAAATGGTAAAAGTCAGCATCCTTGCCTGTGCTCAGTCATCTTAGTATAATGTTAGCTGTACTTGTTCTGTAGATGTCATTTATTTGTTTGAGGATGTTCTATTCCTAGTTAGCTTAGAATTTATATCATAAATGCAAACTTGAGGATAAGTGATAAACATAATAAAAAAACAAAAAAATTTTGTCTTCTAAATCTATTGAGATGACTATATTGCTTTCTTTCTTTTGTTTCTCATATTATTTCATTGCATTTCTGGGATATAAACTTGGTCATGATGGTCATGATGTATTATCCATTGTATAATTTGTTGGATTGAAGATAGAATTTTTAGGAATATTGGAGTTGATTTTCATATGTTGTATCGGTCTATAGTTATTTTCTCTCAAAATTTTTGTCAGTTTTTGGGTACCATTGTTCTGTTGGATGCAAGAGTTGGGAAGTTTTCCTTCCTTCTCCTATTTGTGTAGAATTGGCTTCTTTTTCCCCTTAAATGTTTGAAAAAATTTGACGGCAAAGTCATTTAGTCTTGTTTTTTCACTGCAGAAAGGTTTTAATGATACCTTTTATTTCTTTAATGAATACAGCAATATTCAAATTTTCTATTTCTTCTCGAGTCAGTTTCTCCAGGTGTTTGTCCATTTTCCATAAGTTTTTTTCAATTTAGTGGGATAGAGTTGTTTAAAATATTTTGCTATTATTTTGTTAATTTCTGTAGATTTTTCATTAAAAAACAGATTTTAGGACAGTTTATATGTACAAAAAATGGAGAAAATAATACAGAGTTCCTACACACCCCCTCACTCCACCCAGTTTCCCTTATTAGTATGGTACACATGTTACAATTAATGAACCATGTTACATTATTAACTGAAGTCAATAGTTCACTCAGATTAGATAAAAACATTAGTTATTTTCTGTTCCAGGTTCTCATCCAGGACATTACATTTTATTTGATTGCCATGTCTCCTTAGGCTTCTCTTGACTATGATAGTTTTTTAGACCTTCCTTATTTTTCATGACCTTAACGGCTTTCAAGAGTATTGGTGAGGTATTTTGTAGAATACCTCACTTTTGAATACCTTAATAGCAACTTGTCTGATTTTTTTTTTTTTTTTTTTTTTTTTTTTTTTTTTTAGAAGGAGTCTCACTCTGTCACCCAGGCTGGAGCGCAGTGGCACAATCTTGGCTCACTGCAAGCTCCGCCTCCTGGGTTCACATCATTCTCCTGCCTCAGCCTTCCGAGTAGCTGGGACTACAGGTGCCCACCACAAGCAGGCCCAGCTAATTTTTGTATTTTTAGTAGAGACGGGGTTTCACCGCATTAGCCAGGATGGTCTCGGTCTCCTGACCTCGTGATCTGCCCGCCTCAGCTTCCCAAAGTGCTGGGATTACCGGCGTGAGCCACCGCACCCGGCCACTTGTCTGATGTTTTAATTAGGCTTTATTTAGGTAAATGCAAATAAAAACCCATAAGCTACCAATTTGCAGCCATTAGGATATGAAAATAGCAAGTGTTGGTGAGGATGTAGAGAAACTGGAACCTTGTGCATTGTTGAGGAAAATGTAAAATGATGTGGCCACTGTGGAAAACAATCTGGCAGTTCCTCAAAGATTAAATATGGAGTTACCATATGATCCAGCAATTCCACTCCTGGGTATATACCCCAAAGAATTGAAAGCAAGGACTCAAACAGATGCATGTACACCAATGTTCACAGCAGCATTATTCACAATACCCAAAAGGTGGAAACCACTCAAGTGCCCACCAACAGATAAATGGATAAAGAAAATGCAGTATATCCAAACAACAAAACATTATTCAGCCTTCAAAAGGAATGAAATTATGACAATGCTATAACATAATGCTGAGTGAAATAAGCCAGACACAAAAGGACAAATATTGTATAATTCCACATATATGAGGTGTTAGAACAGGCAAATTTATACAGACGATAAGTAGAATTGTGGTTACCAGAGGCTTGGGGGAGAAGGCATGGAGAGTTATTGTTTAATGAGTAGTTTCAATTTGGAATTTTTTTTTTAACTTCTGAAATGGATAGTGGTGATGTTTATTTAACACCACTGAATTGTATACTTTAAAAAGTTTTTTTTTTAAAGAAACAAACAGCCAATCAGTGTCCATTAATCTTTTTGTTATATAAGTTTTTAAAGATAATTTTAGATTTCCAATTGGGTAAAACTGTGAGCTTCTATTTTAGTTTTTTTGCTTCTCCCCACCCCCATTATCTCCCCTCCCTTCCTTCTTCCTTTCCTCCTTCCCTCCCTCCCTCCTTCCTTCCCACCTCTATCCTTCCTTCCTTCCCTCCTTCCTTCCCCTCTCCCTGCCTTCCTTCCTTCCCCATTCCCTACTTTCCTTCCATTCTCTCCTTCCTTCCCCTCCTTCCCGCTTCCTTTCCTCCCTTCTTTCCTTCCCTCCCTTCTTCCTCACTCCCTTTTTCCTTCTCTCTCTCCTTCCCTCTTTCCTATCTTCCCTCTATCCCTCCCCTTTTCATAGTGGTTACTGAATACACTTTAGGGATGGGGTCCTCTCCATGCTGCTCATACTTAAAATTGTCTTCCCCTAAAGAATCTCAAATCAGTATCATTAGTTAGAGGCCTCCCACATGGCAACTGTGGAATTAACTCCTTGCCTGTGCCATGGGAGTGCCGTGGGTAATTTTTTCCTATAACCTTGAGGATCAAGATCCTTTTAGTGACAGGCATATGCAGCAGTAGCTGAAAAGACATTTTGTAGTGTCCTAGTAAAGTACCTGCTTTTAGGAGTGTGATCTTAGCATGTCACACAGCTAACTGCTCCTTCTCCACATGAACAACCAGTTGAGGAGCCCATGCATTGCACAAGGTATCATTCTTTCCCCTGAGCACTATAGAACAGGGGTTATGACTGCTTAAGAATATAGCCAGTGCTCACTGGGCAGGAGTCATTCCCCTGAGTCTAGCATCAGTTATGCCTGTGCGTGAGACATACAATTCAATCTGAGACATACAGGTAGATCTGTACCAAGACAGATGCTCCAAGGCCACTTTAAGGAATGGCCCAATCCCATGCTCTGGTCCTGAATACCAATAATCAAAATTTCCAACTTTTGTCAGTTAAATCCTTAATGGAGGCTCAGCAGAACTCCACAATGCAACACAAAATAGCACAGCTCAAAGTGCAAGCTTGTCAGCAAGCAGCACAGCCAGTTAGCGAGCCAAAGCAAGAGAAGGAACCCCTCACCCTGCCACAATAGTCATCATCAAGATGTCCTGCTTGCTGGCCAACTATTGCGACCACATCAGAGGGACAGGATGGATCTGCAGCCCAACTGTGATTCAGTTGACAAGACTGATGACCTCAAATACACCCCAAGAGCACATGAAAAGGTTTATTACACACATAGTGAGGCTTTCTGGGAGAGGAGGGAAGACTTCCCAAGTTGATGCAGCGGGTGGGGCTGCTAAACACCATGAAATTAGGGATTCCCATGCATGGGCTGGAGTTTTCACAGTCTTAACTTCACACAAGCACCTGGGCTTTTTATCAGCTTGCCCAGATGTGGACAAAGAGACAGGGGGATGAGGTTTAAAAACTGTCAGCAAACATCAAAAATGGAGTGAGGCTCTGTTACAATTGGTGCATTTAGGTCTCCCCCACTTTTTTTTTTTTTTTTGAGACAGGGTCTCACTCTTGCGCAGGCTGGAGTGCAGTGATGTGAGCATGATCAAGCAATCCTCCTGCCTCAGCCTCCCAAAAAGCTGGGACTACTGATGTGCACCACCATGTCCAGCCCCAATCACCTACTAAATTAATATACATGAATTAACATCTACCATGTTTCTAGCTGCTTTATGTTGCACTCATTATTTCTTTTAAATCCCTCTTTTCTGTCTTCTCTGGTTTCAGCTGAGCATTTTATTTTGTTCCATTTTATCTCCTCTCTTTACATATATACTTCCTTTTGAAATTCAGTGATTGTCCTAGAGTTTCCAATATGCATTTTAACCTTCAGATAACACTATACCACTTCACATTGTCTAAGAAAATCTTTCTCTTTCATATTTGAAGGTTAATTTCACTGAATATGGAATCCTAGGTTGGCAGGGTTTTCCTTTAAACATTTAAAATATTTCACTTTACTCTTCTTGCTTTCATGGTTTCTGGTAAGAAGCCTACTATAATTTTTATTCCTATTCCTCCATAGATAAGGTGATTTTTCCCTCTGGCTTTTTTCAGATTTTCTTTTTAAATTCTACAGTTTGAATATGACATGCCTAGGTGTAGTTTTTTGTTGTTGGGATATTTATCCTGCTTGGTGTTCCCCAAGCTTCCTAGATCTCTAGTTTGGTAGCTGTCATTAATTTTGTAGAATTCTCAGGCATTATTACTTCAAATATTTCTTCTGCTCCATTCTCCTTTTTCTTCTGGTAGTTCAATTACACATATGTTACAGCCTTTGAAATTCTTCCTCATTCTTGGATGATCTCTTTTTATTTCCTCATTTCTTTTTTCTCTTTGCATTTCACTTTGGGAAGTTTCTTTCAACCTGTCTTCAAGCTCACTGCTTCTTTCCCCAGCTGTGCCCAGTCTACTGATGAGCCACCAAAGGCCATCCTCATTTTAGTTATAGCGGATTTGATTTCCAGCATTTCCTTTTAGTTTTTAGAATTTCCATTTCTCTGTTTATATTACACATCAGGTCTTGAATGTTCTCTACTTTTTTTCAGTTAGAACCCTTAACACATTTATTTTAGTTGTTTTAAATTCCCAATTTGATAATCCCAACACATCATATCTGATTCTAGTTCTGATGCTTGCTCTGTCTCAAACGGTTTCCTGTCTTTTAGCATACCTTGTAATTTTTTGTTGAAAGCCAGACATGATGGGCTTTGTAAAATGTACTGAGGTAGACAGGCCTTTAGCATGATGTGTTATGTTTACAGGGCTCAGATCTGTGAGTTTTATAGTTTGCATCAAATTTGTAAAAATTTTTTCCATTATTTCCCAAAATATTGTTCTGATGCTCTCCTGCTTCCCCTTTCCGGGACCTTAATTACACATGTTAAACCATCTGAGACTGTTTCAGAGCTCACTGATTCAGCGTTTTTATTTTCTAGTCTCTTCCTTCTGTCCTTCATTTTGGATGGTTTCTACTGCTATGTAGAAACTATCTTTTCTTCACTCATTTTTTTCTTCTACACTGTGTAGTCTGCTGCTGATTCTATCCAGTGAATATTAGTTTGAGGTATGGGCAGGAAACAATGCAATAGGCTTATTTTACTCAGTTCTTGCGTATCCCTGTAGCCAGGACAAGGATCTTTGGCCAAGTCCTGAAAACTAAACTCCTGGAATGGTCACATAGTTACTGCTTAATGATAGTCTTATTATAAAGGCCCAAAGTGGTGGGTCAAGATGAACCAGCTTATCAGTGTCTAAGGTAAACATGAAGATTCATGATGTGCATCTGGTGCCTGGTCTGGCATCCACACCATGCTTCTCATGTAGCTATGTGACCAGTCCCCCTTGAAGAACTCTGAACTCCAGGACTTGAGTGAGCTTCCTTGGGTGGGGATATATCACATGTATCTTTCAGTTCACAGCTGGAGAGAAAAGCACATCTGTATGCCTTTCAAAGAGACATGGAGGTCGTGGAAGCCTGTGTGTGATCTAACCTTTGACTGTTGTTTTCTTTTGTTGTTTCTGCTGTTCCTGCACTTGATCCTTTGCTATAATAATCCATAGGCATGAGTATAACTTTATGTTGAGTTATGAGTACTTTCAGCAAAGTACCAAACTAGCTAAGGCTCATGAGCCCCCCTGAAACAGATATTGTAATTTTTCATCTCAGCAAGTTTGATTTGGTTCTTCTTACCATCTCCCATTTCTCTCATTATGTTTATGTTTCCATGCAAACACTTGAACATAGTTTTAATAGTGGCTTTAACATCCTTGTTAGTTCCATCATATCTGTCACTTCTGTGTCTGTTTCTACTCACTGATTTTTCTTCTGGCTATGGGTCACATTTTCCTCCTTCTTAGCATGTGCATTAATTTTTTTAACCAAATATTGGACATTATGGTTGTCATATTGTTGAATGTTTTGCTGTTTTCCTTTGAAGAGCGTTATGCTTTCCCTTGCAGGCCATTACTTTTGGATCATCGTGGTTCCATCAAGCCTAGGGTTTTTCAATTTTATCTAGGACAGATAGCTTTCACTCCAGATAAACCCTAATACTAAGACATGACCCCTTACCAGGTCTTCACAAAATGCCTGGAGGGATCATTGAAGAATCCTCTGTGGTGGTCAGAGCTTGAACTTTTCTCCACCTTCTGAGACCTACAGTAATTATTCAACTTACAACTCCCTGTCACTTTTTGCCCAACCTTCTAGAATTTCATTCTAAGGATGTGTCCCCCTTTTCATAGGATGTGTCCTCTGAATTCCATTCTAAGGATTTAGTCCTCAGCAAAGACTCAAGGGCACCCTTTTGCAGATTTCTGGAGCTCTTTTCTCCATAGCTCCCACCTGCATCTCCCCTACAACTGTCAGCTGTCTGAACCTCCCTAAACTCTGATGTCCACCATAACTCAGGAAGGTCACCAGGCTGTCTGAGTTCTCCCTTTGTTTGGAGCTGAAAATTACTTCCATGCAGAAAGTTGAGGCAACCGTTAAGTATCACCTCATTTGTTTCCCTTCTGTCTGGGATCACCGTCCTGCAGTTTGTTGTTCCATGTCTGGGTGTAGTCATTTCATATATCCTCCAGTTTGCTTATGGAGGAAAAGTGAGTATAGTCACTGTAATTCCAGCATGGCTCGAAACATAAGTCTCAATAAATATTTAATAATCTTTTGCAATAAAATCCTAACAGGTCTCATTGTTATTCCCTGCTTAGAAGCACTGGATGGTTCTCCATTGGAAAATAAAGCCAACTACTTAACAAGTGTACTATTACTCAAAAATAGATGAACCATACTAAGCCATGTTGTACAACAAATTATCTAAGTTGAAAATCTTTTACACTAGCTCATTCAGATCCATGTTTCAAGAAAAGACTACAGTAACAGAAACTCAATATGGTCTCGTATACCCCCAATTCTAAAAATAAGACCACTAACAGACCATTCCAGCAAATAGTTTTCAAACTCTGACCCACTGCTGCCAAGACACACTTACTAATCTCTCTCCTATAACTACCCTATGACTAACCCTAGTCTCACAAAGTACTCTCTCCTAACTCCCATTTGCAATGATACTGAGACTCGACTCTGTCAAGGCTGAGCTCTTCCTTGCTAAGCTTAATAAACACAGCTTTGTTTGATGAACAGGTTTCCCTAGTAATCTTTGGTGCAAGCTTTGACAAGGATGCTTTAATTGAAGTTTAGCAGGAACCTGTCACAGCCACAGCTCAGGATCACCAACTCAGAGGGCACTCCACTAGACCCCATGAACTTCTCTGCTTGGGGTTTCCTTGTTTGCAATTATGAAGTAAGTTCAGTGCTAAGTCTGTGCCCTAATCCCTTTTTGTTGAATTTTAAAATCTATATGAGGTTTATTTTATCTGTCCTAGGAATAAAGTCCCCAAGACATTTTATTAACTCATCAGGTCTGTACTAGTTTAATTTTCCTTGGTGAATGTATTAGTTATCTATTGCTGTGTAGCAAATTACTCTGAAAATTAGCAGTTTAAATTGCAAATATTTATTCTCTCACAGTTTCTAAGGATCAGGAATTTGGAGTAACCAACTGAATGGTTCTGGTTCAAAGTCTCTCAAGAGGTTACTATCAAGCTGCTGGCCCAGGGATGGCTTGACTGGAGTAGCATTCATTTCCAAGCTCGTTCACACAGACATTGGCAGACCTCAGTTTCTTGCTGACTGTTGGTTGGAGACTTCAGTTCTTCACCATATGGGCCTCTCCATAGGATTCCTGAGCGTCATCAAAACATGATAGCTGCCTTCTCGCAAAACAAGTGACCTGAGAGAGTGCATGAGGGTGACCAAAACTTAAGCTGCAATCTCTTCATGACCTAATCGTGGCAGGGACATACCATCACTCCTGCCATATGCTACTGGCCACACAGACCAGCCCTGGTCTAACAGGCGGGGATTATACAAAGGTGTGATTTCCCATTGGTGGAGATCCAATTTGGCGGCCAACCTGGAGGCTCCCTTCCACAGTGAAAGTCTGCAAGAGCAGCAATTTGTCCCCCTTCTTCCTGTCTGCCTGCCTACTGGTTGTACTGTTGAGTGTCCACAAGAGCTTTCCTTAATGGGACCCTACTTATCATCACAGAAGCCAAGATTTTCCATCCAAAGTGCTATATTAACAACTTAATAAATGTTGTTCAATTCTTTAAGTCTGTGAGACAGGTAATACTGTCCATACTTAATAAATGAATAAGAAAATTTAAGCAATTTATCCTATCACACATCTAGTAAGTCATGAGACCAGGCATTCCCAAGTTTATCATTCTTCAAAGCCTAGGAACTTTCTATTGCTCTCTGCTTCCTGTGAAGCAGCTCCTGGTTCTACCAACTCTCCAGCTTGTTCTCCCACTAACCCCTCACTTCCCTCACACCAACTCCTCCCTCTACTTTCCATCATGCTATATGGAGTTTAAGGTCTTTGGGTTTCTAGTTAGTCCCACCGCTGAAATCCTCTTGCCAATGCCTATACGACACTAGCCTTTTGAAATTTCTT
Organism: Homo sapiens; assembly: GCF_000001405.40. Lineage (NCBI taxonomy): Eukaryota > Metazoa > Chordata > Mammalia > Primates > Hominidae > Homo > Homo sapiens. The sequence continues at coordinate 126,605,616 of NC_000003.12, forward strand.
AAGCCTAGCCTTTATGGCCTAGCACAAGGCAAACTCCATAAATATTCCATGCATGCTTGAAATGAGTGTGCTTTCATATTGGGTACAATCTTTGAGTTGAGCTTGTTAATTCTGCTACTCAAAAATAAGTCTTTACTGATTTTTTTGTGTGTCTGACCTAATAAATTACTGAAGTATGTTAAAATCTCCACTATAACAGACACTATCAATTATTTCTTGCAGATCTATATACATCTGTATGTTATTTGATGCATACTAGTTTTATCTTCCAGGTAAAATTAGTCTCTCATCAATATATAGGTACCATATTTACCCCAGGAGAGGAAAAAGAGGAAAAAAGAGGGAGAAGAGACAGAGAGGAAAATAAAAAGGTGAAAGGAAGCCAACACAGATAGGTTTATATGTAAGCATCCTCCCCTCCTTGCAAAAGAAAGATAATTAGCCGTTCCAATGGTCTGTAACCTGGACAGTGGTTACAAATGCTTAAGATGGATTGCTTCTTTCCACCGACATCAGTGAGAACACAGGCTTCTCTGCTGCCTCTCTCTATGAGGCAGTCTGCTTCCCACTCAACTTTGCACTGGAGTACAGCCCATTGGGCTTCCAGCTTTATACAAAGGTTTCCTATTAGAAATTCCACCCATGCAAGCCTGGGATTTCGTTTTTTTTTGCCCCATGCTCAGTGCAAAGCAGGAGTTGAAGGCTTCCAGGGTTTTTGGTTTTGCTTCATTTGGGATTCTGCTGGCTCTGTGTGTGTGTGGCACTCAGCAATACAGTAACAAAATTATTAAAAATATATTTTATCAAGTATTTAAATCAAGTCTGTTGAAAGCATTAATCACACCCTCTCCATATTGCTTCTAATCTAATCCTTTTATCTCCTGCAATTCAGCTCAAATACAGCTACTTTTATTAAACTCTGTTCAATTACCCTACCCCTGCCCCACAGCCAATAGAAATTAATAACATCTCCCTCGGCTTCCCACTGCACTGTTTCTGCCACATGGATAGCAATTACCACACCATACTTTACACCTTTTAGACACATTTTTTTCTCCCAAATAAAAAAGCCACTCCATAACTAGGTCCTATGTCAGTTTTCTTTGGGTTCCCAGCCCCACTCCCCCACTGCTCCATTCCCTGCCTCCAAAGAGGGTAACAAAATGCCTGTCTACAAACAGTGTTCCTAACTGTTAGCTTAACATTTGTCTTTTAAGACAAATGGCTAGAAATTGTGACCCCAGCCTATCCAATCTTAAGCTAAACAGCTAGTGTGGCTCATGAGAGCAAGTGGCCTAAAAGAGCCTTGCATTGACTACTGTGTGGCATACTCAAGAACACAGAGGTTTTCCAAAAGGACCTTGGATGGGCCTCTGTCTTGAAGGACCTCTGAAATGCTGACATGTTTGTAAATTCCCATGCAACCACTTAATATTACCTGTATTCATTTATGGAACTTTATCATCATTAAACAGACTGTGATGGAATTATTTCACAGATAAATTAGTTAGATTTCACATAATACAGTATTAAAAACTTTTGGAAATAATACTATTAAGATGAACATGAAAAAGCAATTCAAGTACTTTTATCTTACATGAGATATTTTGCTCAGTCTCGAGATATTAATTAGGGGAGAATAGCTTCAAGGTTATCACCACCAAGTAGTGAGTGTGAGGGTGAAGCATGAGTCAGCGTTTTGACAGTAGGTTAAATGTGCCTCAAAAAAGAAAAGAGATGACTAACCCTACACAGTGTGTACAGCTTCCTGCTAATGCAGACAGCTATCCAAATGCAGCCCACAGCAGCCCACAGACACTGTTCACCAGTGAGCATGTGTGAATTCTAGGCCCACGCACTAGAAAACCACTACTTTATAGCATTTCTTAACTGAAAATATATTTTCACAGAAACAACAAAGCAAAGGGGATAAAAACAATAGCGACCAGAAAAGCTAACTTAGGTGAATGGTGCCACTCAAAGGTCTTTCCGAGGGAAGCTCAGTCCTGGCTTGCGAGAGTCAGCCTTGGCTCACCTCATAACGGGGCTCCAAGCTAAGGCGTCAAGGAAGCAGTCCCACTGCTTCTCGCTGTCAGCAAGACCACAAGGCAGATGCCCACTGCTGTCCTCTTTCCTTGTCTACTTTCTCATCTAAGTGTCGTAAGACAGCCCTGCACTGGTCCCTGAGTAACAGAGCAGCTGTCATGAGCACAGGCTCATTTTATCCGAGAGCATTCTTATCTTTGAGAGAAATGAGAATATGACAAGGAGAACTAAACAGCAGCAGGCCTAGCCTCAGCAGCCTTTCTGAGTGATGTCTAGTCCTGACGACTTTGTGATTTCCAAAGTCGTGAACACCTGTTCAAGAGAAAGAAAACAAATACATATTTAGATGTTAGTATTGTTTTAAAAAAACACATTCTGAATATTATATTTATGCTATTCTTTAAAATATACAAATCTGGCCAGGCATGGTGGCTCATGCCTGTAATCCCAGTACTTTGGGAGGCTGAGGCAGGTGGATCACTTTAGGTCAGAAGTTCGAGACCACCCTGGCCAACATGGTGAAACCCCATCTCTACTAAAAATACAAAAATTAGCCAGGCATGGTGGTGCACACCTGTAGTCCCAGCTACTCAGGAGGCTGAGGCGGGAGAATCACTTGCACCTGGGAGGTGGAGGTTGCAGTGAGTCAAGATCATGCTACTGCACTCTAGCCTCGATGACAGAGTGAGACCCTGTCTGAAAAAAATAAAATGAAATAAAATAAATTTAAAAATATACAAATCAGTTACTAATATGACATCTTTCTGACAAGTGCTTTATAATAGTTTTTCAAACTACATCAACTGAAGCCAATTTTTAAAACCTCCTGTTTCCTACCTCCCCACATGTGGGGTGAATTCCAATGGTGTCATCAAGTAGCTGTTTTGTGAGCCCACATTTCATTGCAGCTGCAAATCCTTGGGTAACCTCACCGGCGTTTGGTCCAAGAATATGAAATCCTATCACCCGATCCTTTAATACAGAAACAAAACAAAGAGAATCCCAGTAGGTTAATGGTCTGAATATGGATCCATTCACTGCAAATTCACAGTTAAAATATACAGTATCTACTACAGAAAAAGAACTTCAATGTCAAAGTGAGCAGAGAACATTACCATGAAACTAAGCCACTGTAAGAATCTGTTAAATGAGCCAGTAAATGCACATCCAGAGTTAATTTGCACTCAAATTTACTAGAACAAGCAATTTACCCACTGCATGAAGGAGTTCATTAGTATGATGTAAATTTCCAAATTATGCTGAGACAATGCTCAACAACAACATAACAAATCTGAATTAAAGTCCAACATTGGAATAACTCTAGGGCAGCAGGTTTTACTGGAAATAAGAGGTTGCTGGCCCAGGAAGCAAGATGCCCTGCTCCCAACATCAAGTGGAGACAAAGGAGAGGCTGGTGCAGGGCTGTCACCCAGGGCTGTGTGCTGAGAGGTATGGGGTGCAGGCAATGAGCTGACCCACCAAGATGGGAAGCAAGATGTGCAGTCGTTTTCCACGGTAACGGTGCATTCTAGGCTGTCCATTTGTCAATGTTCCTTCATCAGATTATCCTTCACTGTGATCTTCAACAGTAAAAGCATACAATAGATGAAGAGAAAGACTATAAAAGGGCAACGGAGGCCAGGGCCAGGAGAAACCCTTGCCCACTAAGCTTCTGGAAAAAGCAACAGCTCAGAACAGTCACACGCATCCACATCTGCTGACGGGCACTCCAGAGGGGAGGCAGGCAGAAGCTGCCAGGGCTGGGACTTCAGAGTGAGTTCCCAGGGCCCACAGAAGACTACTGCATTGGAACCTGAGGTGGTGGGTTGCTCAGCAAGCAGAAAAGGGGTGTAAATGAAGGTCCTGAGTGAGGAAAGTCTCATTTACAATTTTGACCCTAGAGCTGGAGTCAAGTATTTCCATTTCGTAAGTTCGAGGGTTCTGCTCAAGAAATAGGCATGTGGCCAGGGTAAAGGGAAGGGGCATGCTCCCCATAGTTAAAGAGCAAGGACAAGAGTGTGGCCTAGGGATCTGGGCGGGAGCCAGAAGGGTGGCGTGGGACATAGCAGAGGGGCTCAGAGATGGGAAACGGGGCTGACAGCCACAGAGGTGCAGCCCACACCCTCATGAGGAGGTCAGAACTAGCATGACAGCTGCAAGTCCCACCTTCAGCAGCGGCTCTCCCATCAAACCCCAACCCTCTCACTTTCAGAGGGTAACAATGTGTACAGTCTCTCCCTACTCCCTTTGGAAAGGCCGCCCACAACTGCCAAAAATTGACCTCAGATAACTCTGTCCCAAAGAATCAGGATATAGCCCAGCACATGAGCACCCACCCTCAGGAGCACAGCTGTGAACCTGCCCAACCTGGAGCATTTCAGGGCCATTATGACCGCCATCCCTGTCACTGCCCTGTAGCCATATGCAACTACCAACAGACTAAGCCCTAGAGCTCTGGATGACTTCACCATTCAGGCAAAAGAGCACATGCTAATGGGCTACTAGCCTGCAACACCCTGTTTTCTGTTATACTGAGAATAAGATAAATACAGAGATGTGAGAATTAAACAAGATAATGACTGCTGTTCAGTAAACTTTTATGTAGATGTCACTTGTTGCAGTTCATATTTATCTATTTGTATGTTTCCTCTCCCCAGATGATAAACTCTTCAAGAGAAGAACCAAGTCTTAACACTGCTTTCTACATTCAGAATTCTTTATAAAGCAAATTATAAACAAACTGTGCTTTAAACTACGCTACTGAGGAAGGCTATTAACCATTTTCATGCTCACCCCTCATAACTGGGAGGAGGAAAGCCTCCAATAATGGGCTGCTGCTTTAGTGAAAGCATCAGGAATTAGCTCAGTAAGTCAAGTTTCACTTTGTGTGAACATCTCCATCTAAAGACTTTTGACACACATTCAGTCTGTTTATAAAATGCATACATACAACTTATTATTTGATGACCAAAATTTTCACAGATCTTCTAGTTCTAAACTATCAAGTTTAAACTATCAAGCTATCAAGATGGCCCTGGGAAAAGGCAGCTTTCAGTGATGTATTTTGAGAGGACACTGGTAGGGCTCAATCACAAACTGTCACTGCTCAGCCTCTGTGACATGTTAACTAAATGACAACGTGGAGGTGCTCTGCATTGTCCTGAAAGCTACCTTAGAAAGACTATAAAAGTGCAGCAGTCCCAGCTGCTCAGGAAGCTGAAGCAGGAGGATCACTTGAGGCCAGGAGTTGGAGACCAGCCTGAGCAACATGGCAAGATCCCGTCTCTAAAAAAAAAAATTATAGAAATCCAAATACTAAAAATAAAAGCTACATTTAAAAATCACAGCATTTTGGCTTCTAGTGGTATTACATACATGGTCGAATTTATTGCAGATTATCTTTGCATAACAAGTGTTGTTCTCTCTGCCAGCTACTGTCCATTCAAGAGGCCAGAACAAAGTATGATATATCTGGAAGATAAAAGAGAGAAAAAGGGCAGAATTAATGTATATGGAAACCATTCCTTGATAGGCTCTTTAATTCTATAAAGGCAATAATCTCCATAGCAGCTTTCGGAAATTCAAAGTTCAGTGACCCCAACTTTATGTATCTGTTGGGAGCCCCAGGGTCAAGGCTCCTGAAATGCTAGCTGCATATGTGTGTTGACTGTTGTTTTGCTTGTTTGGCTGTTAGTCCAAGCAAAAATCCACAAACAAAATTCAGTTTTCAAACATGTATAGAGTACCAGCAACCCAAGGCAGAGCACTAGGCACAGGCTCTCGTGTGGGCTGCAGAGTTGAAGACTGAGATCCTGACGTCAAAGCTGACCCTGATAACAAGGCTCACATTCCAGCAAACTTGAGGAGGCGCAGAAGAAATAAAACCGCTCCAGCCATTTAGAGCTCCAGAACCCAGCCATGGGAGAGCAGGGATCATGTCTCTCACATTTCTGTCCCCAGGCCCTCATGCCAATGCCTTGAGTGTACCTCTATGCCTCTTCAATCTGGCTCAGTCTTCTAAGAACCAGAATAAAATGCCATGTGCCCTCTCTCCAGCTTGGGGTTGCTGTGTTCTCCCAGTGTTGCACCTCTGAATCACTCCATACACAAACAGGCAGTTAATGCTGAGTGACAGAATTGGAAATGTAGTATGAACAATAATCCACGATGGATGGATTTAAATTTAAAAATACCACCCAGAAATAACCATTTTAAATGTTAGGGAAAAGCATTAATTGCTGGTGCATGTAGAGTTAAAACAAAATTTTTATTAAGGAGGTATCACAATATACAGTTACTTGTAGCCAAAAACAAAATTGATTTAACTTGTTTTTAACAGAAGAGAAATAAACTCTTCTACCCATTTTTTTGTTTATTTGTTTGTTTGTTTGTTTTGAGACAGGGTCTCACTTTGTCACCCAAGCTAGAGTGCAGTGGTGAGATCTCAGCTCACTGCAGCCTTGACTGCCCAGGTTCGAGCGATCCTCCTGCCTCAGTCCCCAAGTAGCTGGGACTACAGGTGCGCATCTCCACACCTGGCTAATTTTTGTATTTTCTGTAGAGATGGGGTGTCGCCATGTTGCCCCAGCTTGTCTCGAACTCCTAAGCTCAAGTGACCCACCTGCCTCAGCCTCCCAAAATGCTGGTATTACAGGTGTGAGCCACCAGCCCCCACCACTTCTACCTATTTTAACACAAACATTTTAATCTCTGCAGCTACTAGAAATAGACATATTTCTTTATCTTAGGATACACTTTCCTAAAAATACACCTCTAAGGTTAAAAAGAGATGGTACAAACTCTTACCAGGTTTGTTTTTTGTTTGTTTGTTTGTTTGTTTTTGAGACAGAGTCTCACTCCAGGCTGGAGTGCAGTGGCACAAACTCGGCTCACCGCAAGCTCTGCCTCCCGGGTTCTCTTACCAGGTTTTAAACATGATTTTTAAAACAGCAAGCTACTATTTCTGATGTGTTCTATCACTTCTGCTATGAAGGAAGGAGGTAAACACTCACACTTACCCTCATTTCCTTTCATTCTTTCACTGGTTTTGTCAAATGTGGTTTTTCCTTCTAGCACTTTGAAGATTTTACTATATTTAAATTTCTTACCCTTCTGGTTCAAAGTGGATGTGAAGTGTGGATTCAACTTCCAACTTTACATTTTTCCTTAATAGCTACCCACTTATTCCAGCACCCTTTAATGGATGGCCTGTGTTTTGCCATGGATTTAAAATATGACCTTATCACATACTAATTCTTACGAGCATTTGAATCCATTTCTGGGTTTCACATTCTGTTCTACTGATCTTGCTGTCCATCTGTGTGCCACTGCTGCACAGCTGTAAGCACTGCAGCCATGTGATAACATTTCATATTTAATTAGGGCTCCCCTCATTAAATTACTCTTGAAGTTTTTTATCAACTTATGCACAATTACAGACATAATTTTTAAAGCTCTGCTGTGGAAAACAGTGATCTCTGACCCCACCCATTTCAATGAACCCAGAGGCCACCACCTTCACCTCTTTTATTTAATCATTTGGGTATTTACCTCTATGTTTCTAAATAACATGCTTATATTGTTACTGCCTGACTTTCCTATTTAGGCTTTATTTATTGATTCGGCTCTATGCAAGAGCAAGATGAGCTCTCTTCCCTGTCCCCTAGCACTCACTCTAGCTCCTTCTTGCCCTCCTCCATCCCCATCTTCCCAATACAGTTATACTCTTAGCTACAACAGTTACCAGTGTTTCCTTTACTATGTAAAAGCTATTCAAAGACAACTTGAAAGCAACAAGCAAAGGATGAAGCTGCACCCTTAGCTCACAACATTGACAAACATTAACTCAAAATGGATCACAGATCTAAATACACTCACACTTCCTCCCATCCCCAATCATGCACTGCATGTGTTGCAAAACAATGCTGGTCTATGATGGATAGCATATGTGACTGTGGTCCCATAACATTAAAATGGAGCTGAAAAATTCCTGCCACCTAGTGACGTTATAGCCATTGTAACATCATAGTGTAACACATTACTCACTGTTTGTGGTGATGCTGGTGATGCTGACACTGCACTGCCAGTCTCCAACAGTCTAACATATATAATCATGTACAGTACATAATACTTGATAAAGATAATAAATGTGATATGACTATGATACTGATGTATGTATTTATTATACCATACATTCTACTATTATTTTAGAATGTACTCCTTCAACTTATAAATTAACTGTAAAACTGCCTCAGGCAGGTCCTTCAGGAGGTATCCAGAAGAAGGCATTGTCATCATAGGAGGTGACAGCTCCATGTGTGTTACTACCCCTGGGACAGGATGTGGTGGGAGAAGATGGTGATATTGATGTTTTTGACCCTGCGTAGGCCTAGGCTAATGTGTGTGTTTGTGTCTTCATTTTTTTATAAACAAGAAGTAAAAAAATTAATAGAAAAAAGCTTATAGAATAAGGATATAAAGAAAGAAATTATTTTGTACAGCTCTACAATGTGTTTGTGTTTCTCTATAATAGGAACTTTAAAAAAATACTAACAGATCACATTTTCAGTCCTGTCAAAATGCAATAAATAAATAAATAAAACAGGTGAGTTGATCTGCAGCAAACCTTGGTGGAAAGACCTTAAAGTAATCCCCAAAACTTGAGGAACTTGTTTCCTATAAAGATACTCTTTTGTCTGGGATACAGGCTTGTACATCCTTCCTGTCATGTGCCTGACATCTTCCTACCTTAATTTTTCATTAATTTCAGAAAGTTTTAAAACTAAATGTTAAATCCATAATTACTATCATCAATTTTCCAAGACCCACATAAAGACCAACCAATGCAAAAAGGATAGCTTATTATTATATAAACAGTTAGTTATAAACGCTGATAAAATAATGTTCTCTAAAATGTAAATTTCAAAAATAACCATCTAAAATAACATTATAAAGTTTTAATCACACATTTCCCCAGCACCAGAAATTTAAATAGGAGTTTCTTAAATCCTTAGGCCATTTAACTAGGGAATATCAGTGCTGTGATTTAAATACATTCTCAATAATAAATTAAATCATACAATCAAGGGAAAGCACTGTGATTTCAATTCTCTTTTACTTGAAATATCAAGTATTAATAACCCTCCAATTCTTTTTATCCTCCCTCTCCCTCCTAGTTGGGAGAGTAGGCAGAAAAAAGCCAATCAAACTTCCCAGCAAGAAATGATGTAAGAAAATATTTTTAAGGTTATAATTGGACAGGGTTGGGGGGTAAACAAGAGGTAGCAATAAAGGTGTGTAGAGGGCGTCCTTTTGGAAATCTGAAGAGCCCACAGGCAGACAACCCTGGAACTTCCCACCTTACCACCCGTAGCCATTCCTACCCCTGCAGTCCCAAAAGATCTTAAAATAACTTTGAGCTTCCTTGTACAAGTTTGCTCAAATAGATTTTTGTTACTTGTAATTCAAGTGTCCTGACTTATAGATTACACTTCCCTCTTTCCCAACCATATTCCTCTTCTTTGCTAGACAGACAGGATTTAAATTAATTCCTAATTTTCCTAAAATAGGAATATGATTTCCTACAATATAACCATCATAGTAACTTGCAAAATGATGAAATAAAAAGTGACCGCAAAGATAAATTGTTGATTAAAAGAGAATTTTTTAAGGAAGTAATAAAACACAATCTTACTTCTAGATTCTCTTTTTTATATACTTCAATAGCTTTCTCTTCAGATAATCCACAGCAACCATACTCCAGAGGAGTAAACACTGTAGTCGGAACATTAATATAATCACACTGAAAGACAAACAAATTACATTGTCTTATTTTGTGAAACTTTATAGCAAAAATCTATATTGCATATATTTATATAAAGAAAATAAATCAGTCCAGTTCAGTGTAACCAATTCTTAAAACATCAACAGCTTCAGGAAAACTCTAAGGTACCTTAACAGAGATCTGGGATGGGCCCCTGACTCAGGGGAAGAGACCACACACTGGCTAGCCACCAACAAATGGGACCGGCTCTCCTGGAGCACAGACTCGGAGGTCTAAGAACCAGAAGTAAGAGGTGGAGGTGGTGCCATCCATCTGCCCCTAAAGACACTCTCCAAAATGTTTTCTTTCCATGCCCATGATTCTGGGCTCTGCTCCTGGAGCACTTCTTCCAGGCAACCTTGAATTATGCTACTTCAGTGGAAGCTGAGACCACCTCTTGGCCATTTCATATTCCTTATGCCACTGAGAGGTGAGGCAAATATGCAGCTCAACGGTGCTGGACTAAGTGTTCTTGACCATCAAAGGGGGATGGTACATGTGTGAGTGTGTCTGGAGGGGGGTGCTAATACACCGCAGGGACAAGGATGACCACAGGTCATCTCTATAGTCCAGGGGTTAAGAAAGAACCATCTCCAGAGCCTTTATCAGACTGAGTCAGAGAAGAATGGACATTGCAAGGTGGCACTCCTGCCTAGGAAAGGCCCCAACTTGGGAGAAGAGAGGGCCTCTCTGGCTGTGTGGAGAGGAGCTGGAATACTTTGGTGGGTGAACCATGAAACCATGTGCATGGAGAGAAAGCTGTGTGTAGGTGGCAGAGAAAAGGTGGAAGGTGCCTGCTCAGCCACAGCCCCTTCAAAAGACACCACCATCCACAGCACTGTATGTTCCCCAATCCCTGCCAATGGCCACAAGTGATTAGACTGGGGACAGCCATCTGATCTCACAAGAGCCAACACATAAGCTGGCCAGAAATCTACAGAATGGCAGAAAAAGGTGGGCTGAGTCAATCCAATTCTTTCTTTTATAGGAAAATTAACTAGAAGGAAAGAGAATTTTCCAGGTGGTAGAGGAACGGGAAGAAATGGACCTGCAGAGTTGTCGCCAAGTTAGGCCAAGGAGGAGCACATCTGTACAAACCCCCCACTGTGCTGCTGGGCCCCAGAGCAGCTGGGACCCCACCTCCAAATGCAGGCAGGCCCAGCCCTAGTATAGTTCTTTTTTTAGGTTCCTCTGTGATTCTACCTATTAATCCCAGGATTCTTACAGTAACCTCCCTCAATTTGCCTAGTTTGAGTGAGCTTCTATTCTTTGTTACCCCAAAGAAAACCAAAACACCACCACGTATCCCCCAAATCAATGAGAGGATTTGCATACAACACAGGTAAGTTATCCATCAGCCTAGATTCTTACACTCTCATGCCACTTCATATTTGCCTACCTGCAAACCATGGGTAAGCCAAGAATTTATTTTCTTTTCCCAACATGGCTGACAAAATCACATAACTATGTGAACTGCCTGGGTATTTTCTGACTTCTCTGAGGCACTCACATGTTGCCGATCCATTTATTGACTGGCAGCTGACCCTAGATTCCATAGCTTACATGGGAGGCCTCATTCTTAATAGATGCCTTTGTTTCCTGTTTCATATCAACTAAGAAAAATAAACAGGAAATGGCTCAGCTTTGCCCCTTTCTCCTAAAAACTTTCTCCACATCTTACATCATCTCCTTCACCTGGACTTGACTCATGCTATCCTTCTTATAGGCTTCTTTCCGTCTTGAGCCTTTCATCTCTTTCTTTATACTCTACACATATTGCTCTATATTCTAATCCCTCCTCCCCACAGTCACCATGATTAACTCCTTACAGCATCAGGCAACTGCTCTGCCGACATACACCCCAAAATGTTATTTGCAGTTGAGATAATTCCTTGCAAATTTAGCATTCCTGGTCCCCATCCATTAATGCCAGCAGAGACCCCTCCCCAGTGGCTGGCTTCATGCACCAAATACACCCACCCACAAGGTCTCCATGCAAGGCCTTGGCAGGTACCTGGGGGATGAAGCAAAGCAGAACATGGCATTCCTCATGGAGAATCCGTGCCCAAACCTCTTCATCTGAACACACTCATGCAAAAACAACTGGAGAAATTCAGAAAGTGGGACATTCTACAAGAAAAGTAACCTGGATTCATAAAAAAGTCAGAGTTAAGAACTGGAGCAAGACAAGGATGCCCACTGGCACCAGTCTTATTCAACACAGTACTAGAAGTCCTAGCCAGAGCAGTCAGGATGAGAAAGAAATAATGGGCACCCAAACTGGGAAAACAGGAAGTGAAACTGTCCCTCTTTGCAGACAATATGATCTCATATGTAGAAAAACCTAAAGATTCCACCAAAAATTCTTAGAACTGATAAATTCAATGAAGTTGCAGGATACAAAAATCAACATACAAAAATCAGCAGTGTTTCTATACACCAATAACAAACTAACTGAAAAAGAAATCAATAAAGCAATTCCATTTATAATAGCTACAAAAAATAAAATATTTAGGAATACATTTAATCAAGTAGGTGAAACCACTCTACAATGAAAACTGCAAAACACTGGTGAAAGAAACTGAAGAAGGTACAAAAATGTAGAAAGATATCCCATGCTCATGGATTGGAAGAATTAATATTGTTAAAATGACCACACTACTCAAAGCAATCTACAGATGCAATCCAATCTCTATCAAAATACCAATCACATTCTTCACAGTAGTAGAAAAAACAATCTTAAAATTTTTATGAAACCACAAAAGAAGCCAAATAGCGAAAGTAATACTGAACAAAAAGAATCAAGCTGGAGGCATTACACTACCTGATTTCAAAATATACTACAAGTTATAGTACCCAAAACAGCATGATAGTAATATGAAAACAGACACATAGACTATGGAACAGAACAGTGAACCCAGAAATAAAACCACATATTTACAGCTAATTAATTTTTGACAAAGGAACCAAGAACATACACTGGAGAAAGGACATCATATTTAGTGAATGGTAGTGGGAAAACAGTATATGTAGAAGAATGAAACTGTACCTCTATATCTCACCATGTGGAAAAATCAATTCAAAATGAATTAAAGACTTAAATATAAGTCCCCAAATTATAAAACTACTAGAGGAAAACAGGAGAAATCCTTCTGGACATTGGTCTAGGCAAAGATTTTATAGGTAAGACCTCAAAAACACAGGCAACAAAATGAAAACAGACAAATGAGACGGTATCAAACTAAAAAGCTTCTGCAATCAGCAAAGGAAACAATCAACAGAGTAAAGAGACAACTGTAAAATGGGAGAAAATATTTGTAAACTATCCATCTGAGAAGGTGCTAATATCCCTACACAAGGAACTCAAACAACTCAGAGCCAAAAAAAAAAAAAAAAAAAAGAATTTGATTTAAAAATGGGCAAAGGATCTGAACAGATGTTTCTCATAAGACATACACATGGGCAACAAGTATATGAAAAAATGCTTAGTATCACTAATCATCAGGAAAATGCAAATTGAAGCCACAATAAGATACCATATCCTGGTTAGAATGGCTATTATCAAAAAGACAAAAAATAACAAAGGCTGGTGAGGATGTGGAAAAAAGGGAACTCTTACATACTGTTAGTGAGAATGGAAACTAACACAGCCACTATGGAACACAGTATGGAGGGTCTTCAAAATACTAAAAACAGAACCCCATATGATCCAGCAATCCCAGTACTAATATTTATCGAAAGGAAAGAATCAGTGTATCAAAAAGATATCTGCACACCCATGTTTACTGCAGCACTATTCAAAACAGGAAAAAATGGACTCAACCTAAGCATCCATAATGCATGAATGGATAAAGAAAACGTAGTATATAAACACAATTAAATACTATTCAGCCATAAAGAAGAATAAAATCTGATCATTCATAGCAACATGAATGAGCCTGGAAGACATTGTATTAAGTGAAATAAGTTGGGCACAGAAAGACAAATACTGCATGTTCTCACTCATATGTGGGAGCTAAAAAAGTTGATCTTATAGAAGTAGAAAGTAGAATTGTGGTTATTAGAGGCTGGGAAGGGTAGGGTAAAGGGGAGGATGGGGAGAGGTTGGTTAATAGACACAAAATTACAGCTAAACAGGAGGAGTTAAGTCCTAGTGCTTTACAGCACTGTAGGGTGAACATAATTCACAAGAATTCATTGCATATTTCCAAAAAGCTAAAAGAGGATATAACAGAATGTTCCCACATAAATAAATGACAAACGTTTGAGGTAATGGATATGCTAACTACCCTGATTTGATCATTACACATTGTATACGTGTATCAAAATATCACTCTGTATCCCATAAATATGTACAATCATTATGTGTCAACTAAAAATAAAAGGAAAAAAGTCACTGTCATAGAAAATAAAAAACAAAGGCAGGGGGACTGTGTCAGATTAAGAGACTTAAGCGTCATAAGAGCCACATGTACTGAAGCGTCAAAAGAGCCACATGTACTGTGCAAATCAAAACACACACACACTCTTGGCCGGGCACGGTGGCTCATGCCTGTAATCCCAGCACTTTGGGAGGCTGAGGCAGGCGGATCACGAGGTTAGGAGATTGAGACCATCCTGGCTAACACAGTGAAACCCCGTCTCAACTAAAAACACAAAAAATTATCTGGGCGTGGTGGCAGGCGCCTGTAGTCCCAGCTACCTGGGAGGCTGAGGCAGGAGAATGGCATGAACCCAGGAGGCGGAGCTTGCAGTGAGCAGAGATCGAGCCACTGCACTCCAGCCTGGGCGGCAGAGCGAGACTCTGTCTCAAAAAAAAAAAAAAAAAAAAAATCACACACAAACACTCTTAAGGAACAACTGGGGAAATTGAATATTATAGTACTTTTGTTGAACTTCTCAGATATGGCAACAGAACTGCAGTTACGGAGGTAAACATCCTTGTACTTAGGAGATATATACTGAAGTAGTTAGAGAAAAATGTCATTGATGCCTGCCACTTCAAAAAGTGGCAGCAAAAAGCTCAGCAAAACAAAAAAGGAATATGAACTACACATACACATATTCAGAAAAGGAGAGACAGAACAAAAACAGCAGGATGTGAATAACTGGGGAATCTGGGTGAAAGGTTCAATATGGGCGATTGTTTTACTACTCTTTCTGTCTTTTGACATCTTTCTAAATAAAAAGTTGGGGGAAATAAAGGTCTCAACAGATCCCTACTGCCTAGAGAAGGCCCTACCAATTCTTCTTTGTGGCAAAGATTTTTGATGATCTGGCACCAAATTAGTTTTCCAGCCTCCTTCCCAATTGTACTTCCCTATCACCAACTACTCTGCCTACACACATTGCAAAATGTTCTATTGCATTGTGTTTGGGACAATTTTTCTTTGCATGAGATGGTATACTCAGCATTCCTGACCCCACCCACTAATGCAGCAGGGCCCTTCCCCAGTCATCCGTCTCCCGCCAACTCCACCACACGGCCACAGAGCTCCTAACAGAGCTGAGCAGTACTTCCCCAGCTGAAAGCTCCTGGGACACTACTCATAGTCCTTAGCACGAGCCAAGCACTACAGGTCTCTGCGTCCTTAGCCGAGTTATCTGCCCACCTGAAAAGTCCTCCGCTTCCTCAATTTTGAATTACTCATCCTATAAAGCTCATCCCAAATTATTTGATTTAAAAATATGAAAAGTGGAAATCCTCTGTAGAAATCATCTGATTCACATCCTTGGCTTTGTCGATGATGAAATTAAGAAGATCCTCAGAAGTTAAACAACCTGACCATGTTTACAGGCCAAGTGGGCACTGAAGCCAGGACCAGAATCCTGATTCATGCCAAGAGCTCCTATGCTATTACAGTGCAACAGTCCACTTATGAAGGCTTTCCCCTCCCTGCAGCTAGAATTAAACATCCCTTCAGTGTCCCTAGAGCAACCTGCTGACAGCACTCTGGCACACAACCACACTCTGCCTTCTGCTCAGCCTGTGCCTGCCTGACTCATGATCCCACCTACCTGGTAAGCCCCTGGGGCTGACCATGGCCAGTGCTTTGTGTATCACCCAGCACAACATCTTGCACACAGTGGACACTCAAAAATACTTATTTTAATCCATTAGTAAATAGTAAGTCTACTGCAAATTATATCTCTGAGGAACCCTTTACTTGGAAAACAGGCACACAAGTTTTACTTGTATTAGTTTTAAAAATCATGATCTTGATCAGGACATTATCTCAAAAACAGTAAGAAACTTACCTTTTCTAAAGAGGCCCCAAAAAGTCTCTGAGCTAGCAGCTTGCCTGACTGTATGGCGACAGGAGTGAGCTCTGGCTTATCCTCCAAAATATCACCAACAGCATAGACATATGGCACATTGGTCTGTTCCACATCATTTACAGGTATTTTTCCACTCCTATTAGTTTTTGAAATGGGAAAAAATATATATTACAACTCACTCTACACTGCTGGCTGACTAATACTATTAGCCAAAAGACTAAATACATAGAAGACCTCTTAAAATTCACGCACCTCAGGATATCAATTATATATAAGGTCAATGACTTAAAGTAACAAGGGTTTCTGTAGCTCCAAAAGAAAATATCTCTGGTGAAACCACAGGCATTTCCTGGATGCCAAGGATATCTATAGACTGCCTCCACAGACTCACTTAGAGCTTTGGAATTTATCTCTTTCCCTGACCAAGGACATAAAGATGTGCTCTAAGTCACAGACATTAGGTAAATATATCTCTGCAATTATTTCTTAAAGTCATTGTTTAATATATGAGCTTTTTAAGGCATATGAGCTTTTTAAGTAAGAGTTACTGATTGATGAAGAAATTGATTATAAAGAGCTGGCACTGAACTTATAAGATAAATTAAGACATATCTCAGTAATTAAATGAGAATTTCTTAGAGGTGATCTGCAGAAACCTGTTGCTTTGTGCAGCAACAGTGCAGTGATCCCAATATACTTACTTCTCATTAATTTTGACACCAATCTTCTCCAAGCCTATTTTCCTTGTACAGGAGTCACGACCAATAGCTAACAAAACCTGCATTTGCAGAGAAATCAAAAACACAAATTATCCATATCGGGAATGAAAGAAGGAACATCACTATAGATCCTTCAGACATTAAAAGGGTAATAATGGAATATTACAAACAATCTATGCCAATAAAGCTGACAGCTTAAGGTGAAATAGATTCCTTAAAAGACACAACTTACCAAACTTCACAAGTCTGAAAAGTCTACAGGCTAAATTATGTCCCTTCAAAATTCATATGCTGAAATCCTATCTCTAAGTACCTCCAAGGGTGACTATATTTGGAGACAGAGCCTTTACAGAGGTAATTAAGGTAAAATAGGTCATATGGGTGTGCCTTAATCCAGTATGACTGGTGTGCTATAAGAAGAGGAGGACATGGGCAACACAGACCAAAGGATGACCATGTGAGGACACAAGGAGAAGACAGTCATGTACAAGCCTAGGAGAGAGGCCTCAGAAGAAACCAACCCTGTCAACACCTTGATCTTAGACTTCCAGCCTCTAGAACTGTGAGAAATACATTTCTGTTGTTTACGCCCCCTGGTCTGTGGTACTCTTCCAGAACTGTGAGAAAATAAATGTTGTTTAAGCCACACAGTCTGCGGTATTTTGCTATGGCAGCCCTGGCAAACTAATATGTCCTATACCATTAAAGAAACTGAATTCTCAACTTGTAAATTTCTCATAAATTAATTCCAGACCCAGACAGCTTCTATAGGAAAGTCTATGGAATACTTAAGTACGAAATAATGCTAATGGTACAAAAACTCTTTCAGGAAAGAGAAAAAGGGAGTACTTCCCAACTCCTTTATGAGGCCAATATAAGCAGCTGACACCAAAATCAGACAAGTGCATTAAAAGAAAAGAAATCCACAAGCCAACGCTCCTCATGAATATAGATGTAAAATCTTTAATGAAATGTTAGCAAGTCAAACATAGCAATATATAAAAAGGATAATTGTTCGTGATCAAGTGAGTTTGTCCCCAAAATGCAAATTTGGTTTAACATACAAAAATCCATCAATGTAATTCATCATATTAACAGAATAAAGGAGAAAACAATTCAACCATCTCAATAGATGCAATAAAGCGTTTCACAAAATTAAAACACTCTTTCATAATTAAAATCTTCGGAATAAAAGAAAAGACAATTTTCGTCACCAGATAAAAGGCAAGTGTAGCAAACTTACAGGTCACATCCTGGCAATGATACAAGACTCAATGCTTCACCCCTAACACCAGGAACCAGACAGGCATGCCCATTCTCACCATTTCTAATCAACACTGTATTGGAGGTATTAGCCAGTGAAACAAGGCCAAAAAAAAAAAAAAAAAAGATTAAAAGCATGCAGACTGGAAAGGAAGAAACAAAATTGTTTTTATTTGTAGATATGAATCCTAAGAAGCTACAAGGTCAATATAAAAAAAACTGTATTTTTATACACTACCAACCAACCATTTAAAAATGCCATTTATGTTAGCTTTAAAAACATGAAGTATGTTTAGCAAAATATGTGAAAGACCTCTAGAGCCCAATGATAAAACATTGCTGAGAGGAACTAAGGAATACACAAATAAATGGAAAAACATATGAGGTTCATATGTTGGAAAAATCAATATTGTTAAAAAGTCAGTTCTTCCAAACTGACTATGGAAAAAAGACAATTCCAGCCACAATCCCAGCAGACTTTTGTTTCTAAAAATTAAAAAGCTGTTTTTAAAAGTTATATAGAAATGCAAACAATCTAAACAAAATTAGAGGACTCACTCTACCTGATCTAAGACTTACCACTGAGCTTCAGTAATCAAAACAATGTGGTACTGGGGAAAGGACAGACAAACGGTCTATGAGAAGAGCACAGAAATAGACCCACAGTTAAATGGTCTTTCTTTTTTTTTTTTTTGAGATGGAGTCTTGCTCTGGCACCCAGGCTGGAGTGCAGTGGCGTGATCTCGGCTCACTGCAAGCTCTGCCTCCCGGGTTCACGCCATTCTCCTGCCTCAGCCTCCTGAGTAGCTGGAACTACAGGCGCCCGCCACCATGACCGGCTAATTTTTTTGTATTTTCAGTAGAGACGGGGTTTCACCGTGTTAGCCAGGATGGTCTCGATCTCCTGACCTTGTGACCTGCCCACCTCGGCCTCCCAAAGTGCTGGGTTAAATGGTCTTTCATTGAAGATTCCAAAGCAATTCAATAAAGAAAGGGAAGTCTTTTCAACAAATGGTACTGGATATCCACACGGAAAGAAAAGAACTACACAGTGAAGCACGTATGCTCTATACAATCCATAACACATGTGATGAGGTAGAAAATAAAGTGGCTGCAGATCTAGGATGTGGCTGTGGAGTGCTTAGTCTTGGAACTGCAATGTTAGGAGCCAGGTTGTATGTTGGATTTGACATAGATGCAGGTGCACTAGGAATATTTAATAGGCATGTGGAAGAGTCTGAATTAACATATGTTGGCATGGTTCAACGTGATGTGTGCTCATTATCTAATGGAATGTCCAAGTCAGTTGAGACAGCAATTTTGAATCCTCCTTTTGGGACCAAAAATAATAAAGGGACAGACATGGCTTTTCCAAAGACCACTTTGGAAATGGCAAGAACAGCAGTATATTCTTTTTTTTTTTAATATACTTTAAGTTTTAGGGTACATGTGCATAATGTGCAGGTTAGTTACATATGTATACATGTGCCATGTTGGTGTGCTGCACCCATTAACTCGTCATTTAACATTAGGTATATCTCCTAATGCTATCCCTCCCCCCTCCCCCCACCCCACAACAGGCCTTGATGTGTGATGTTCCCCTTCCTGTGTCCATGTGTTCTCATTGTTCAATTCCCACCTATGAGTGAGAACATGTAGTGTTTGGTTTTTTGTCCTTGCAACAGTTTGCTCAGAATGATGGTTTCCAGCTTCATCCATGTCCCTACAAAGGACATGAACTCATCATTTTTATGGCTGCATAGTATTCCATGGTGTATATGTGCCACATTTTCTTAATCCAGTCTATCATTGTTGGACATTTGGGTTGGTTCCAAGTCTTTGCTATTGTGAATAGTGCTGCAATAAACATACGTGTGCATGTGTCTTTATAGCAACATTATTTATAATCCTTTGGGTATATACCCAGTAATGGGATGGCTGGGTCAAATGGTATTTCTAGTTCAAGAACCGTGAGGAATTGCCACACTGACTTCCACAATGGTTGAACTAGTTACAGTCCCACCAACAGTGTAAAAGTGTTCCTATTTCTCCACATCCTCTCTAGCACCTGTTTCCTGACTTTTTAATGATCGCCATTCTAACTGGTGTGAGATGGTATCTCATTGTGGTTTTGATTTGAACAGCAGTATATTCTTTACCCAAATCTTCAACTAGAAAACATGTTCAAAACAAAGCTGCAGAATGGAAAATCAAGACAGATGTTATTGCAGAGCTTCGAGATGATCTGCCAGCATCACACAACTTTCAGGAAAAGGAATCAACGGACAGTGAAATGGACCTAATTCAGTTTTCTTTTCAAAAGTCTCCAAAACCAAAAGCAACTTAAATCTAATTAAAATGAATTCTAATTAAAATGAATGAGAATTAATTTATTTACTAAAAAAATTCAAGGTAGATTATGGACTTAAACATAAAAGCTAAAACTATAAAGCTTCAGGAAGCAAACAAAGGGATACTTCCATGACCTTTGGGTTAGCAAAGATTTCTTAGAGCACACAGAAAGCATGAAACATAAAGTAAAATACTAATAAAATTGAACTTCATAAACATTTAAAACTACTGTTAACCCAAAGATACTACTGAAAAATACATAGGCAAGTCACAGACGTGAAGAAAATATTCAAAATACATATATCTGAAAAAGGAATATGCCCAAGATATATAGAAGCCCTGCAATTCAATAAAAATTCAAACGATCCAATAAAAAAGGGCTGAAGACTTGAACAAACACTTCAAAGAAAATATACATGAATGGCCAATAAACACATGAAAATTGCTCTACATCATTAGTCATCAGGGAGATGCAAATTAAAGTTATAAGATACCTCTACACATTCACTAGAATGCCTAGAATGAGAAAGCCAGATGCCCCTAAAAGTCCTAAGGGTCTGGAACAACTAGGCCTTCACATATAGCTGATGGAAATACAAAATGGCATAATCATTGGGAAACTGTTTGGTAGTTTCTTAAAAAGTAAAAACCATCCCATGATCAAGCAATTTCACTCCTAGGTATTTGTCAAAGAGAAATTAAAATATATGTTGGCTGGGAGCAGTGGCTGATGCCTATAATCCCAGCATGTTGAGAGGCCAAGACAGGAGGCTTGCTTAAGGCTAGGAGTTCAAGATCAGCCTGGACAACACAGTGAGACCCCAACCGTAAAAAAAAAAAAATTAGCCAGGCATGGTGGCATGTGCCTGTGGTCCTAGCAACTAGGGAAGCTGGGTTGGGAGGATCATTTGAGCCAAGGAGTTGGAGGCTGCAGTGAGCCTTGATCTCACCACTGCACTCCAGCCTGGGTGACAGAGTGAAACCATCTCTCTCTATATATCTCTCCATAAAAAGCTTTCCACAAAGAATCTTCACAGCAGTTTTAATCACAATAGTCCAAACTGCAAAGAGGCTAGGTATCTACCCACAGGAAAATGAATAAACTGCTACATTAATAAAATCTATACGATAAAAAGAACTACTGATGCACACAACATGGATGAGTCCTAAAAACATCAATCTGAATAAAAGAAGTCAGATACAAGGAATACATACTGTACAATTCCACTTATATGAGATTTAGAGGCAAACCAAACAAAATAAGTCTGTAGTGACAGAATCAGAATAGTGGTTGCTTGGGGGTCGATGACTGGGAAAAAGCACAGAGCGCTTTCTGGACTCACAGAAATGTTCTGTTACCTAAAGGAGTGTGGATTACATGAACGTGGACATCTGTCAAAACTGACTGAACTGTACACCTAGGATCTGTGGATTTCACTACATGTATATTATACCTCATTACAAAAATAATTTACAGTTAGATATTATGGACAACTTCATACCAATACATTTGAAAACTCAGATGAAATGGACTAATTCCTGGAAAAAAATATAACTAATCAAAAGTAAATCAAGGAAAAAATAAAAAGTCTTAAAAGTCCTTTGACTATTAAAGAAATTAATCAGTGGTCAAATATATCTCCATAGAAAATTATAGGTATAGACAGTTGCATCAGTAAATTCTATGAAACATACAAGGAACCAATTCTAATGTTACATGAACTTTGCCAGAAAACAGGAAATGAGGAAACATACTCCAAAATTCTTTCATGAGCAGGAATACCTTGATACTCAAACCTAAAATTAAAATGTTCAATATGTAAAAGGAAAATTACAAGCCAATATGATTCATAAATATAAATGCATAAATTCTAAATAACGAAGTCCAACATTACCAAGTTGGGTTTATACAAAGGATACAAAGTTGGTTGAATATTAGAAAATCAATGCAATTCAACAAATTAACAGATTAAAGAAAAAATTCATCATCCACAGCTGCAAACGAAACACTGTTATAATTGAACATACATTCCTTCTTAAATATACAAAACAACATAAACAAAAAGACACTTAGGTAACAAAAAATAGAAAACGAGCTCCTTAACTTGATTAACAGCATATAACAAAACCCTACAGAAAACATTGCTTTTTAGTGAAACGTCTTTTCTTTTGATATTGTAAATAAGACAAGAGTGCCTGCTATTGCCATTTCTTGTCAGGACTGTACTGGAGGTCCTAACTAATGCATTTATACAAGAAAAAAAGAGAAAACCAGTAAAAAGGAAGAAACAAACTGTTATTATTCACAAATAAATAAATGTGTACACAGGAAATCTGAAACAATCTAAGGATAAATTTTTCAGTAAGAGTTTAGCAAGATTACTGAATACTAAATCAAAACACAAAAATGAGCAGCATTTGTATACACTAGAAACACTTAAAGATAGTGACATTTTCAAAAAAAATACCATTTGTGACTACATATAAATTACATAAGTATCTAGTAATAAATCTAACAGATATTCTTGATCTCTAAGGAGAAATGTATTAACTTTGCTGGGAATCATTAAAGAAGATCTAAATTAATGGATAGATATACCATGTTCATGGGTGGGAAGACTGAATATTGCAAAGAAGTCAAGTGTTTCCAAATTTTCCTATATATCCAATCCAATCCTAATCAAAATCTCAATAAGGTTGATTTTTGGATTTTGGTTTTGTTACATGTTTTTTTGCTTTGTTGATGTTCTTTCTCTACGCTGCATTTTTTTAACTGAAAAAATTTCTACATAAAAAGAGTATATAAAACATAAATGTATAGTTTCTGTCAAAACTATAAACTAATTACAAAAGAATTGTTGGCCTCCAAAGTATTCCATGGGTTATTTCACATTGTTTGGAGATTTTGTACTGTTTGTTTTTGAGAAAGAAAAATAGCTTTGTTGTTGTTTTTCATTATAAAATATATTCAATATTTATTGCAAAAATATTCAAATTAAGAAATGTATAAAATATCTAATTTTCCAAAAGTAAGCACACATCTGGATATATGTGCTTCCAAATTTTACATACAGTCGCATACACACATACTTTACCGTGGTATTCCTCATGCATTACTGAAAACTCAAATGTCAGTAGCCAAATTATCTTCTATGATAATGCTCTTACAAAGAATAAAAAAAGTAAAAAAATGTTAATCCTGGTATAATTTTCCCATAAGTTTCATTTCTGTTAATTTAGGAGTGTGTTCAATAACTTAGTAATGATAAAATAAAAACTCACTGTGTTATAGACTCCTTCAATTGTTTCTGTTCCTTCAGTGGATTTAGCCAACACTTTCAGCTTTCCAGGTGAACCTTTCTCCAACTGTTGAACCTAGTAAGAATGAAGAGTGTAATGATGTTATCTAAATATGATAAAAAAGAAATACACGAAAGGGTCTACACCGGTATGTTCGTGTACATTTGTGTGTTTGGTGGTGGTACATATAATAGGTGTTAGTATAAGGTTTCTGGATAAGGCAGAAATAGAGAAAAGTGGACTGTCACAGATATATTTTGGAGGTAGAAATGAATTAATGAATTAGTTGAGATTGGAGGGAGCATAAAAAGATAAATTAAGGGGTATTCCTAGATACTGGCTTAATATACTGTGTTAAGTACCATTTACTGAGTACTGAGATGGGCCAGAAAGATTAGCAGGAGAATATTTAGGTAAAAAATCTAGTTTCATTTTTGTCTTGTTAAGTTTGAAATGCTTATGAGGAATTCAAGTGGCAATTTCTAGTAGGCAGTAGTATAAATGAGTATGGAATTCAGGAGAGACTCTTAAATAGGAGATATAAATCTGAGAATCATTAGCATTTAGATAATGTTTAAAACTATGGGCCTAGAGAAGATCATCCAGGTAATGCAAGTGCACAGAAGTGAAGAGGGACCCAGAGGAAAACAAATGGGTGCTGGAGTCTGTAGGTTGAGTAGCTGTAGATGGGAAAACTATAGACTGTGGGGCCACAGAAGCCAGAAAGGAAGGTGCTTCAAATGAATGGCCAGTTTCAGCGCATGCTGCCAAGAGGCCCAGTAAGATAAGGACAGAGACATGACCACTGGATTTGATGACAGGAAGTTTGCTAAAAGCCTGACAATCAGCTTCAAAGAAGTGAAGGAGATGGAAGCAGCTGACAGTCAGCTAAGCGTGAAATGGAGTCAAGAAATTAGAAGCAGCATGCAGAGTTGTTCTTTGTTTTTTTGTAAAGGAGAAAGAAAAATAGGCACCCAGTCAGAAAGGCAGTGAGGGTAAAAGAAGGCTTAATTGTTCAAGATGAGAGACAGTGATAAGAATAAGGAAAAAGAAAACTACTAACTGAAGATGGAACATCCTTGAAAAGGTGAAACAAAGTGGGAGATGAGGGGACTCAGCCTCTGAGAAGAGCAAGGACACCTCCTATATCAGAAGAGGGGACGAGGGGGAAAATGGGGTTGGCTCTGTAGACTTGGGAGTGGAAACACTGTTTTAACATTATTTGAATACAGACTAATTTATGTAATGAAATGAAGTAAGGTGAGATAAAGTGAAAAGTTAGAGAAAAAAAATTGCAAATGCCATGCAGCCTTACCATCACAGGTATGAATTTCCGTAGGAACTTCACACCATGCTGCTCCATGTAGGAACCCACTTTTTCTGCCATTTCTTGGTCGAAGCCACGGAGAAGGATTGAGCGTACCATAACTGTGACATCTAGGCCAAAGCCAGCCAGAAACCCTGCACACTCCAGGGCAACATAAGAGGCACCCACCACTAATGTTTTGCCAGGGCAATAAGGCAGAGAAAAAAGGTCATCACTGAAAAATAAAAATTAAAAAAAGAATACCTAGGCAGCAAGAATGAAATGAGTTATTCATGTTTCAGTGTATAATGGTCTTGTGATGACTGAATTATAATTTAGTGCTTGAATGAAGCAACAGCCTTTTGAAATTTGTAATTGAGTCTGCTGTGGAGAGAATGTGGAACAAGAAGTATACCTCAGATTTTTCTAAATCAGACCACAAGCAAGATTTTTTAAAAAATAAAATAGTATAGAAAATATCAGACTACATTACATGTGATAAAAAAAAAAACCTGTTTGTTTTGGAGATGTATGTACGTATGTGCTATGTGAAGAGGTGTGTGTTTGTTTACCTGAACAAAAAACTGCAACAAAAAATGTATTTCTTAATGTGAGTCAGCTCAAAAAAGTTTGCAAGTCATTACACACATGTCCTGTTTGACCACTAAGGAATATTCCCATTAAATCTCAGTGTTAAGAAAAGTGGTGCTGCTCCTCCCCAGCTGGCTCATTTTTATCATAAGGACACTAACCCCTAGAGCTAACTGTATTTACTTCTTTGTTTTGGCCTGTAAGAAGTTTAGAACAAAACTCCCAGGCTACTTCTAGGAATCACCGAGACACACACGGCATATTTTTGTACATAAATTTTGCCACTGGCCTTATTTACCTGACCTTATATTCTCTGTTTCATTACTTTTAACTATTTAGCTTCTTGCATTGTATATATTTTCATTTGTTAATTCAAATCTTTTGTGGAATAAGACAGGAAGTAAACTGGAAACATGTCAATATAATTCAATTTATTAACATTAAAGTTAAAATAGTCTATTTAACCTTACCTAGTAATACAGTATTCTTTATCTCCTTGGATTCCTAAATACCGTGGCCTTTCACCCGTTGCTATGACAAACTGTGCAGCAGTATAATAAGTCTCCTGTCCTTTTTTATTGGTTGCCTTGAAAAAAGAGAAGTAAACCTCACTTAGCAAACACTACAGAGTACCAGACACCCTGGACAAAATAGTTACTACCCTCATGGAGCTTCTCATTCAACAGCAACAGCAGACATGTGAAAAAGTAATAATGCAATGTGATAAGCACAAGCACAGAAAACAGAAGTCTTTATGAAATATTAATCAAAGCCCCATGGTGAGGGTAGGGTAGTGGACTAGAAAGCCAATCAAGGATGTATTAAAGAAGGAGTAGAGATTTTCAAGTGGAGATAAGAAAAATGAAATGATGGGAGAGGAACGGAGACCTGGAAGACAGAACAATGCGCACAAAAGCACATGAGCCCAGGAGGAGTTGGTGTTTGAAGACTGGAGAGCAGGGTTGTGTCAGAAGTCACATGAAACAGACTAGAGCCAAGTGCGAAGGCCCTTATGTCATCCTAACAACTTAGGCTATGGGGAACCAACAAAGGTTGCTCACAATTTTTAATTATACAAATAATTCAAAAATACATTTTCATTTTAAAAAAATTCAAATACTTTGGGAGGCCGAGGAAGGCAGATCACAAGGTCAGGAGTTCGAGACCAGCCTGGCCAACATGGTGAAACCCCATCTCTACTTAAAAAAACACAAAAATTAGCTGGGCATGGTGGTATATGCCTGCAATCCCAGCTACTTGGGAGGCTGAGGTGGGAGAATTGCTTGAACCCGGGAGCTGGAGGTTGCAGTGAATCAAGATCACGCCACTGCACTCCATCCTGGGTAACAGAGCAAGACTCTGTCTCAAAAAAAAAAAAAAAAGAAAGAAGCAACAACAAAAAAGAAACAACAAAAAAAGAAAAAAACCATTCACATGCTAATATTAATGAAGGTGTTTAAACAAGTGGGTTGGCATCATGAGTGGGATGGAGAACAGAGCCTGGAGAAAGAGCCTTGCTTAGAAGGGCTCTGAAACAGACAAGCAAGTACAGGCTCTGGGGTGAAACGGAGACTCTGGAGTTTCTCGCCTGCAGACTGGGAATGTGCTAGCATCACTAAACAAGGAGCCACACAACAGGCAGGCTTGGTTGGGGCTTATTCAACCATGTGTGCCAGGCAATTTGAGAAACACAACATGTATTTCTGCTGTGTTTCATGTAAATAATATAATTCAAATTGGCCCATGTAAGGTTTTAAAGGGCTGACTTTATCCTATTATATTTTTTTAGGGGTGAAATATATCTTTAACTGAATAAAGCACATCATCCAAAATATAGATTATATGGCAAATGATAACAACCGTTAAACCTAGGAATTGAATATTTGGATATTTACTGTGTTATACTCCCAATTTCCTGTTAAATTAAAAAAATTTAAATAAAATGCTGAAAATAAGCATTGAAGGGCAGCTTTAAATGGACCATACCTCACACATTTCTGAGATAACAGCTGAATACAAAATAATCTAAAATCTTGTGAAGATTATCTCACACTGTGCTAACAAAGTACAAAAATAAACTAGATGATGAGGACAATATCTGATTGTCATAATTCCAATTAAACTGTTTGTGTTCCTCAAAATGATCTCATTTTCCATATGTATTAATCTAATAATATATAAATATTACAAAGATAAACTTATAAAACACACTAATTCTAATGCTACTTTATCAATGCTTTTATGAATAATATAATATTGGAGTTCTAGTTAAGGTTTCATTTTTAGGAAGGATTCCACTAATAAAATTTTGATCTTTTTAGTCTTTTAAACTTTGAACTACTTAGTTTAAACATGTTCTCTTTTAAGACGGCAATAAAATCAAAGACAAATAATTTTTAATTAAGAGTTCTTTAAAACACAATTTCTTCAAGTTAACCAAACATGTAGAATTAGCAAACAATAGGGGAGAAACACACACACATGCATGGCCGTGTGTGTGTGTGTGCACGCACGCCTGTTACACCCCTTAACATGCAACATGAAATTTTAGTTGAAGGCAAGTATAAACAATTGTAAAGAAAGGAGATGAACAAGACAAGAAACTCAAGCACTACCTTTATTTTATGATGTTCAACAAATTCTCCATAGGAATTGACATAGGCCACAGCCTTTTCCCTCAGAGACAACCTGTAGCCCCAGTTTAGAGAGCTGATGTGGTTCTGAATCGCTTTTGTCATTGTCTCCCAGTTGTGCCTCACTAAGAAGAAATAATCAGGGTGAAGATGTTAGGTGAATTTTACCTTTAATGGTAAATTACATATAACCACACATGAGCCATACTAACAGTGCTTTAAAAATCAAGAAGTAGACAATCAGTAACTTAAATATTTTGTATGCCAGCCATAGTTTATACTCTTCCTAATTTATATTACAAAGAATGTGGAAAAATCAAGAGTTCTGAAAAGAAGAAAACTGGGGAAAAGTCCATGGAGGAGAAAATGGGGAAACTGGCCCTCATATGGCAACGCCTGCCACGACGTAAGGCAGGAGGCTCACCTCTCCTCGGTGGCACCTCCTAGAACCCTTTCCCACTCCATGGGACCTACTTTACTTGGCTCTTGGATGGGAAGAAGGCCTCAAGTCAGTGAGCTTGGTACACTCACCTCAACAGACTGGCATGGTTCCACTCTCATTTGGTTCACAGGGCAGTGGTTTCATGACAGTGAATATCTTACATGTCTTTACAACAAATATGGTTCACGCTCACCACTGCCAACCTTCAATATTACAGTGTTTACCCATTCCTTTGGAAGGTGGGGCAGGATTCGGGTGTTGGAATTCCACGTCATCCCTGTATCTTCTAGGTGGGATTTACTGCATAGTGTTCACCTTGTCTACAGATGCCAGATCCTGAAGGTCACCCTGTGCAGCTCTATGTTTATAAGATGCAGGGGTCAGCCCAGCCAGGGCTTTCATCATAACTGGATGAGATCCCCGAAGACAAACCAACAACCTGAGGTCAAGGGTAACATCTGGAAAATTACCCCATCTATCACTGTCAAGAAATGCCCCCCTACTCATCCAGGGACATGGGATGTTACCATGCAGGAAAGGGAGTCGACTGGAGGGGACAGTCAGTGCACAGAGAAGCTTAGCCAATGTCAACACACACGGCCCTTTCTATGATGCCAATGTACCAGTCTCCTAAAATTTTGCAACCCAGAATAGTCGTTCTTCTTACTACATTACCTCATCCTCCCACACCCTGTGATGTTGGTTATGATTCCCGAACCTGTCCCAGCAGTGACCACGTCACCACAATGGCACATATCCTCACATCCTAAAGATACTTCCTCCCCATCCCCTAGAAAAGCTTTTCTTCCAACCCTTAAACTATTTATCCTAAGAATCCTGTCAGCTCAACTAACAGTTCATGTGTCCTTTTGTTTCTTGTTCTTGTTGCAAAAGGCATCTTAGATTACAGGCTCTCAAATACAGCTGCACATCATAATGGGAATCATGTGGACCTATACAAATCCTAGGACCTGCCAAAAACTATGGAATCAGGAGTGGGACCCCAGAACCTGTACAGTTAAAAAGCTCCTCCTGGAGTTTTTGATATGCCAAATCAATGAACTGGCACTTTGAAACCACTTGTTCTACTGTTTTATTGATGTGTTTAGTCCTGCAACAGTATAATATTTTTAAATACTGAGAAAGGTCACCCTCTATACTTTCTCAAAGGTTGCTTAGCTATTTTCACATATGTATTTTTCAAAACGAATTTTAAAATAATCAGCCAATCTCCAAAAAGAAAAAAAAAGTCTCATGGAGATCTTACTGGACTTATATAAAATTTACAAACCATTTTTGAGATACTGTCTTCACAATATTGAGACATCCTCTATAAAAGCATAGTAAATTTTTTGTTATGCCTTTATATTCTTTCCTTATATATCCTGTACATTCCTGGTTGAATTTATTTCAAGTTATTTTCATTTTTTGTTACAATTTTCCATTATACATGTGAGTATGTGTATATATTTATATTACACACATCACACATACATATATATACACATACACATGTATATATACCTATATACACATAAACACACACACATATATACAAACACACACACAAACATATTTTAAGAGACAGAGTCTCATTCTGCTGCCCAGGCTGGAGTGCTATGGCATGGTCTTGGCTCACTGCAGCCTTGACCTCCCAGGTCCAAGTAATTCTCCTGCCTCAGCCTTTCGAGTAGCTGGAACTACAGGCATGAGCCACCATGCCCAGCTTATTTTTCTATTTTTTATTTTTGTAAGGAAGGGGTCTCGCTATGTTGCCCAGGCTAGTCTCAAGCTCCTCATCTCAAGCAATTTTCCTGCCACAGTCTCACAAAAGCAATCAACTTAACTCATTAGTTCTAATATTTCTTGTTTAATCTTTTATATATTCTATGTATGTTGTATATAATCATGTATAACATAACTCATACATTTAAAATATCTTTTTATTACTTCTTTTCCAATCTATGTACTTTTTCTATCGGCCCTTTGTGTGCACTGATCCAAAGCTCTAAACAGTGCAGATATCAGTAGTGAATGTCTGATTCTTGACTTAATTAAAATACCCCAAGTTCTTCTCCAATAAGTATTGCTTCTGACTCTTCTCCACCATGTGAAGAAGTATCTGTTTGTTTTCTAAAGCAGGAATGGGTATGAGATTTGTGTGAAATGCCCTCAGAGCTGAAATCCTGGCCATCATGCTGATTCTGTGCACTCCTGCTGTGCTATCCTGGGCTGACCCCCTCCCTGCACCCCACGGCGAGCCCTACCCACTCACATTTGTTCCTTCAAGACACTACCAGAGAGGATTTGCCAATGCTTGCCCTAGAGTTTGGGCACCTCTATGGGGTATAGTTTTCTATTTTTAGACTATCTTTCTGTATCATGGTTATTTCAGCCTCCAAAAAAAGGTGGCTTTTCTAAGTCTAGCTTTTCCAGAACAGTGTAAATCAAACTTGTCCAACCTGTGGCCCATGGGCTGCAGGAGGCCCAGGATGGCTTCAAATGTGGACCAACACAAATTTGTAAATTTTCTTAAAACATGAGGTTTCTTTTGTGATTTTTTTTTTTTTTTAGCTCATCAGCTATTGTTAGTGTATTTTATGTGTGGCCCAAGACAATTCTTCTTCCAATGTGGCCGAGGGAAGTCAAAAGATTGGACACCCCTGGTTTAAATTATACAGGAAGTGCCTGTTACTTGTAGATTTGGAAAAATGTACCTGTAACACTAATGGTACCTTTTGGAGACTGGGTTATTCTTACACAATATTTTTTCTTTGATTATTCAAGTCAATTCTGGTCATTTATATTTTCATAGAAGATATTCCTTTTCATCAAGATATTTAACATTATGACCACTAATTTTTATACTCAATTTGTGGCATCTCTCCCCATCTGTAGTTATACTTCTTTTCTAATGTCTGATGCTGCATATCTGTATGAGTTTCCCCCCTTATTTCCTTAATTGGATTTGCCAAACATTTGCCTATTTTATTTGTATTTTCAAATACAGTCTTGGTTTTGTTTATCAGTTCTATTTGGGAAGGGAGCTAACATTAATTTCTGAGTTTTTCTGTTTGCTTGTTTTTTGCTTATATTCAACCTATCTGATATTAACTACCACTGATATTATTTACATTTTCCTGCTATATCATTTTCCTGTTTAAAAATTTCTCATCTAAAATTTTAAATAGGAAATTCTTAATTTCCTACTTAAAATGTAAAATTTCCATATTTTCAACAATTATTTCTTTTGGTTTTAGGTATTTGTCTTAAACATAGCATATGGAAGAATTTTGCCATCTACTAACCCAAAAATCTGACTCATTCAGCTTTATCCTAGTAAGTAATATGACTACTCTTATGTAAGGTATCTTATTTTCTGTTGCTATTTTTGTTTGTTTTAACTTGTAGTTTCATGTTGCTTCCCTTTCTATTTTTTCTTTACTACCTTCTCTTTGTATATTTTCCCCTTTCTTTTTAAACTTTCACTTGAAAGCTCATTCAGTTTCTAATCTGGAAATTATCTATACATTATAAACTTATTTTAACCTATATTTCTCTCTCTTTTTTTTTTTTTTTTTTTTTTTTTTTTTTTGAGATGGAGTCTCACTGTCGCCCAGGCTGGAGAGCAGTGGCATGATCTCGGCTCACTGCAACCTCCGCCTCCTGGGTTCAAGCGATTCTCTTGCCTCAACCTCCCGAGTAGCTGGGACTACAGGCGCATGCCACCATGCCTGGCTAATTTTTTGTATTTTTAGTAGAGACAGGGTTTCATTGTGTTAGCCAGAATGGTCTTGATCTCCTGACCTCGTGATCCGCCCGCCTCGGTCTCCCAAAGGACTGGGATTACAGGCGTGAGCCACCACGTCCAGCCTAGCCTATATGTCTTTATCAATATCAAGAATGCAAGTATCTAGAACATTCTCCCAGAACATGATTTTGGCATGCTTTGACTTCCTCTCTTTTGCTGCTCAGATTCTGATGACTTCTCTTGGCCCTTTATTGAGTCTATACCTAAATACACCATGTGTTGGCTAGCTAAGTATTTCTTAGTCAGCACCCCAAAGACTTAGAAAGCATTTTAGCCGGGCACGGTGGCTCATGTCTGCAATCCCAGCACTTTGGGAGGCCAAGGTGGGTGGATCACCTGAGGTTGGAAGTTCAAGACCAGGCTGGCCAACATGGTGAAACCCCGTCTCCACTAAAAATATAAACATCAGCCAGGCGTGGTGGTGTGCACCTATAATCCAAGCTACTCGGGAGGCTGAGGCAGGAGAATCGCTTGAACACGGGAGATGGAGGAACGCAGTGAGCTGAGACCGCACCACTGCACTCCAGCTTGGGCAACATAGTGAAACTCCTCTGTCTCAAAAAAAAGAAAAAAGAAAGTATTTTGTATAGGGGGAACTTTGAGGAAGCTAATTATAAGATTTTACCCATTCAAGGAAATTAGAAAGTATTTAGAAATATTCAGCACTTAGAACAGAATTAACGTCATTTGACCCCATGGGGGCAGGGAGTGCAGCAAAGCAATGTGTGCAGACATCCTGCTATCTCTGAGAATGTAAGACAATGGAGAACAGACAGAAGTAACACACAGAAAGGTCCCCAGCTGGCACAGACCACACAGGTCTGATATCATCCACACAAGCCACCTCTGCCTGCTGTGTCTCCAACACAGAGTGAGTGCTGTGGTTCACCCTTTACAGCCTCTTCCCTACCACTGAGGTTTTAGGGGCTTCTCCCCTCTTGGACTCAATTAGTTTTGAAACAGTGTAGATATTTATTTTAAAAAGAGATTCCATAAGTACCTGCCAAGTCAAAATGTGCATAATTCAAATCCTATTCCATTTAGCCTTTCTGCAGCATTTGATTCAGTTAGTGCTCTTTTTAGATTCCCTAAGGCCCCAATCATGCCCTTAAAAAAGCCAAACTCCTCCTGGCTTCTGTGATTCAACTCTCTTGGTTTTCCTCCTTTTCCTCACCCAGTTACTATAGGTATTAAAATATCTCAGTGTTCTGTCTCTGTTTTCTATGCTTTTCATTCTCCCCAGTCCCCCATGTGCTGTGCCTCTCACACCCAGCTCTCGCCCAGCTCTCTTTCAGGAACAAACCTTCCTCATACAGCAAACTCTACCAGGATGTTCCCAAGGCACCTGAAGTACAGTGTCCAAGTAAGATGAAGGGTTTAGGGAAAAGAAAGATTTTTTTCTTTTTCCGAGACAAGATCTCATTCTGTTGCACAGGCTGGAGTGCAGTGGCGCAATCAGAGCTCACTGCAGCCTTGACCTCCTTGGACTCAAGCTATCCTCTTACCTCAGCCTCCCGAGTAGCTAGGACTACAGGTGCATGCCACCATGCCTGCCTAATTTTTCTATTTTTTGTAGAGTAATTTTTCTATTTTTTGTAGAGACAGAGTCTCACTATGTTGCCCAGGCTGGTCTCAATCTCCTGGGCTTGAACAATCCTTCTACCTCAGCCTCCCAAAGTGCTGGGATTATAGGTGTGAGTCACTACGCCCAACCAGAAGAAGGATTCTTGAAAGCAAATAAAACTACCCCAAAATTACACTGCCAAGTCAGGAGGCCTCATTTTATCTACAACCAGCTGATCCTAGCTTGACCTAAGGCTCTCCATTGAGTTGACTGGAGAAATGTGTCCAGCATCAACCCATTATCCTGAACTCAACCCCACCCTGCCAATAAACCAAAGCTGCTTGTGTTTTCTTTTTTTTTTTTTTTTTTTTTTTTTTTTGAGACGGAGTCTCGCTCTGTCGCCCAGGCTGGAGTGCAGTGGCGCGATCTCGGCTCACTGCAAGCTCCGCCTCCCGGGTTCACGCCATTCTCCTGCCTCAGCCTCCCGAGTAGCTGGGACTACAGGCGCCCGCCACTACGCCCGGCTAATTTTTTGTATTTTTTTTAGTAGAGACGGGGTTTCACCGTGTTAGCCAGGATGGTCTCGATCTCCTGACCTCGTGATCCGCCCGCCTCGGCCTCCCAAAGTGCTGGGATTACAGGCGTGAGCCACCGCGCCCGGCCGCTGCTTGTGTTTTCTATCTCAGTGAACAGTATTCCATTTCCCCCCCAGTCTCTCTTCCTGTATTCTTTCCTCTCCCTCAATCCATATCCTACCATGACCTGGATGCCCTGTCATAATCACCTGGCTACGGTCAGAACCAGGATCATCTATGATGCTTTAAATGTGCACGTACACTGCCCACATCTACCAGATCAAAATCTCTGCACAAAGAGACAAGTGGTTTGTAATTTTTCTTAAAGTCCACAAGACATTCTGATACACAGCCAAGTGTCTACATCCAACTGGCCACCATATCTGGTCAATTTTATGCCTTCAACTACCCTTCAACCAGACTTCAGTCTTTGCTCAACCCTCTGTCATTTCTTGCCCCCACTTCCCTATCCTTTCCTCTCTTTTCTAAGTTCCTCAGTGCCATAAAAGGTGTGAAAGTTGTCAGAATCAAAATGGAGTAACTTGTGTAAAAAAAAAAAAAAAACTCTCCGACAAACAGAGGTGGGGAAGGCCATGAAGAAAGGGTTTCCTGGTTTCTATGCCTGATAACAAAATCATCACAAAGACTACAAAAACCACAAACTTGCCCAAAGGCCATCACAACCTAACATAAAAGTACATCTTCCAGGACATCTGCCCAGCAACTGCCTGTCCAGCCTCAGACTTGAGTCACCCTAGTTATTGATCCTTGTAGCCAAGGATAATCATTTCGAAACAATCATATCCTCCTCCTCATTTTTGCGTAGGAAACAATAGTTTACTATGGCACACATATTCCAGCTGCAGTGCCCACTTCCCAAATAAGCATCATTTTCTTTAGGGAGTTTTTTTCTGCTTGCTACTTAGCTTGACAGTAGGACTCAGAATCACAGCCGTGGCTCATGCTCCTCTCCTGCTTCAACTCCCTTCATCTACTCTTCACTCCAGCCACTATTAACCCCCCAAAACACCATGTTTCCTCACATCTCCATAGTGTTCATCAAGCTGCTTCCAGTCTTAAAGGTCCTACTCCTCTGTGACCTTCAAGATGCAGCTCAAGGGTCACCTTGTCTGAAGAGCTTTCCCTGACACTCCCCCACCACCCTCAAGGCTACATGGAGCCAATACTCAAAGCAGCATGGCTAATTTGAGTGCACTGAATGGATCTCCTTGTCTCTCTCCCACGGACTACATGCTGCTTACAGGTAGCTCTGTCTTCCTCACATCTGTATCCCCAGAGCTTAGCCAATACATGTTTACTAGATGAATTTCTTTTCCACTTTTCATTAACCAAAGATATATATAACCACTGAGAAAAAATGTTATAATAACAGATATAATTCAAACAATAACCTTTGCTATTCTATTTTTCTTATACTTGAAAGAAGTCTGAAAATAGCGATTACTTAATCTTTTACATTCTGCTAAGGGTGTGGAATTGCTGCAGCTGAGACAATTCCCTCTCTAGGTGGTGAGGCCCACAAGAGCGGGGGGCCCTTTTGCATCCTCTGTGCCTGGCTGACACAGTAGCTTCCTAATGAATGTTCATTAAATGAATTACGAACTCAACTATAAAAATATGAATACCAAGTCTTTATCTAAAAAACTCATTTTTTCTTTTCTCTCAATCTATACTTTATGAACCATTACTCACCTTGTTGATTATATTCCCAGCCAAATTTCCTTGAGTCACATAATGCCTGCCCCAAAAGGGCAGCCTGATGCATCAATTTCTTAGGAATACAACCTACATTTACACAAGTGCCACCAAGACCTGAGGAAGAAAATAAGTTTTAATGCTTCTTTGTGTGTCTAGTTTCACACATCTGCAATCATATTATATTAAAACATGTGGAAATGACAAGCTCAATGGTGGGGGGGATGACACCCCACCCCAAAATAAGACACAAGGGATTAACCCAAATTTTCCAACTACGGGTTCACAGAAGAGACCCAAAGATGAGTAAAAATACAGATGTGCATGTGAGAAGTTTTCTGGGCACAGCATCCAAAACTTTCACTTCAGTCTGATCCACAGAGATCAGAATGATCTAAGATTAATTAGATATGTACTACACCAAGGGTGAGAATCTCAGCTCCCAGCCCTGTACTCTCCATAACTCTGACTCCTCGGAGCCACGTTGTCAACTGCAAGCTGCCTGGTCACATTTACTCTGAGTCCTGAACAACACAAAATGGATTACGCAAAACGGAGTGCCCCTTTGCAGGGCAGGTCTCAGATTCTCTCTGACT
Source organism: Homo sapiens (assembly GCF_000001405.40). Classification (NCBI taxonomy): domain Eukaryota; kingdom Metazoa; phylum Chordata; class Mammalia; order Primates; family Hominidae; genus Homo; species Homo sapiens. The sequence goes on from NC_000003.12 coordinate 126,642,631, forward strand.
GCAGGTGTTCTGGTATCCCAGATAAGTAGGATTATTTCTGGACAAGAAAGGGAGAAAGGGAGGAGAAAAAGAGGAAAGAGGCCAGGGTGAGGGACAGAAAACAAGTGTTCACACACCACAAGAACATTATGAGAAAAATCGAAGTAGATTAGCTTTTGTACATAAAATTCTAGGCTATAACTTTCTGAGTAAGTTTGAATTTTAAAAATTGATTTTTACACTTTATGTGAAAAAAATCTGCCAGAAAATTTTTTCTAGCAGAAAAGAGAAGACACACTTGAGTTGGGTAACTGAAGGATTAACAGAGAAATTATCACAAAGGTGTAAGCAGGAAGAGCAAAAAGGGATAGAATAGTTCCCTAAACTAGTGACAGCAGTGTACCATTGGCAGCCCCATGTGAAGGGGCAAGGAGACTGAGTGCCACCACCCAGAGGGAGCCAGCCATCCAATGGAGGGGGTGGCCTTCCACAGGAAGATGCAGGGACCCAGCAGGGAAGGAGCCAGGGGAATAAAATCCCAACTCCACTCTTCCTCTGCCCTCTTCCCCTTACCCCAAAGTGGCCAAGCTGCCCCAGAAGCCAGAGGGCAAGGCTGCCAACAGATCAGTCTTATGGAGCGTACAGCAGGGCAGAGGCAGAGGGGGAATGCATTTAAAGAATAAATGGAAAACATCCAGCACAAAATCTATGTGCTCTTTTCACTGTGGAAAAACAACATGGAAAGGTGAGCACTCTAGTCTACAGTAGACAGCAGAGTCACAGGGCTGGTCATTGGTCTCCTTGTTAAGCTAAACTGTAATTATTACATACACTCACTCCATCAGCTATTGTGCAGCTAATATAGTCAATTATGAAACCGACACAGAAACAAAGAAAAGTGTTTCTGGCAAACTTACGTGACCACGACACAGTACATACACTGTGACCTCAACTATACACTCAAAAAAATACTACGGCAGAAGTGCTGAAATACTGTGGTCATGGAATTTTTTTTTCTTTTTGCAAAATCTTCCTTATTAATGTTTATATTATCTTTCCAACATCACTGCTTGTTAACTATATCCTCACTAAGACTCAGTTTCTTTTTTTTAATTTTTTTAAAATTTTTTTATTTTTTTGAATAGAGACAAGGTCTCACTATATTTCCGGGCTAGTCTGGAACTTCTGGGCCTCTCAAAGTGCTGGGATTTCAGGCATGAGCCTCTGGGCCAGGCCTAGACTCGCTTGTTTTCTTATCCAAGAAACAGGCGAGTTATACCTCTTGAGATTGTTGTGAGGATTAAATGAGATTACATAAAGCAAACAACATATGTAAAGAGCAGAGAGGAACAACAGAGAAAAACAACTTACCCCAGGATGTGCCCTGAGGTGACGGGACAACAAAGTCTAGCACCATAACTTTCTTTCCCAAAATGGCAGCTTCCTACAAACGAACAACAACAAAAATTACGTATAAAGATCTTGTCACTTTCCTGACACTCCCTCAATCTTTGTCTTCCGTAAAAGACTGTTTTTGTGTGACACACAATCTTTTACCTGAATTATACCAGCTATTACAACAAAAGCTTAAACTGTAACATTAGTTTGTTTTTTTTTAAGTAGCAGAAGAAATAGCTATGGCAGTCATCAGGAAAATTATCTACGAGTTTCATTTCTATATTCATACCTTCGCACATGAAAGGCCTCCAGAACCACCACCGATGATGATGAGATCATAATCATATGCCAAATCTTCCTGAAGGAGCTTCTGTAACAAACCACTCTGATATGCCTATGGTTTAATTACAGGAGAAAGAACACTGCAGAATTTAAAGTTTTACAGCTATTTATGTACACCCTATGTTCAACTGGTATGGATTTCTTTTATAAAAATCTTAGGAAAAATCTATAATTCATCTAAGTTGGAGTTGTAAATTTATCTGGATGCTATTTAAAAACAGGGTCCAACTAGTTAGAACTTATACCAAAGTACATATGTTTTTGTCCCTTCTTACACCTGACAGCTAGGAATGTGTCAAATAACCTAGAAGGTTGTGGCTCTGTACCTATGTAAGATGAGGTCATTTTCCTTGGTCTAATTATCAAAATATTATAGTCAAGTGCAGTGGAATAGCCAAGTATCATTTTTCATTAGCTCACTTGTGCTAGTCTTCATTTTGAAAACAATTCTTATGCATTATCAGCAAATTTTGTCATGGCTTCTCATAAATCGATCTAACTTTTGTAGTTACACAGGTGAGCTTCCTTTACAACACCAACATCTCCCATTTTCTTTCAGCAACAGTCATGATGCTGGCCCTGGGCCATATCCTCTTGCTCATTTGGCCCTCCTTGTGATCAGAAGTAGCTTAGATGATGTTAGAGGTTCGATGTGTGATTTAGTAACAGTTTTCTTTATGCCAAGTCAGTTGCTCACTCCCATTACCTTGGCTTTAGACAAATACCATGATCAAACTAGCCCTTCCTGTAACACACAACAGATGCTTCATAACTACGTGGACTCACCAAATGCCATGTGTCCCCATGAAGAATGGGTGCCCAAGAAGGTTTTAGGGACATTCTAAAAAGGGTCCCTATGGCCTCCTTACTTTTAGGTGCCCTTAGGGAAATCCACCTCCTCAGAATCTGCCATCCAAGAAATATCTTTCTGTCTTGAAATAATAGAATTGCTCTCTCTGCATCTACAGATTTATTCTTGGACATCATTTTCCAAGTTAGGATTGGCAAGACAAGCACTTCAGAAGGTGTTTACAGGACTTACCACTATGTGAACTAGGTTATAAATTCTAGGACTAATAAAGCAGATTGTTACTGCATAAGGATGCTGATCATAGATTAACACACAACATAGACAATCTTTTTTCTCCACAAAAATATAATTCTTAATTAAAGTCTCAAATACAACTATTTAATCAACCACTGATTACTCATATTGTATACATATATAAAGGATATGACAGAGTAGAATTTTAATAAAAGTAAATAACTAATTATAAAATAAGGATCTTATTTAATAAACAATTTTTATCTATCACTGCTTACCTAACAACTCCTGCTCATTTTTAGCACTCTAGGAATCAAAAAATCAAAAGCCATAGGCCTTTGGCAACCACCCCAAGGTTAGCAGTCTTAACAGGAATTCTAATTGTCCTAGACAAGAATGGCAGTGTTGACCTCTTTCTACTGGGCAAACATTAATGTTATCTCTCCCTACAAGGAGGAAAAGACCTGGGATGTCTCCAGGGTGGCCCACTGGTTTGTCCTGGTGCCCTCACACAAAAATCCTAGCTTCTGAAGTTCAGGCTGGCAGAAAAGCTAATTTCCCTTAAAGCAATCAGTATTATCTGATAATTATCCTATATGCTTCATTTTATAACTTCCAAAAGATGAGTGGACTCCTAAAAACCATTTTCTCCTCTTTTAAATACTTTTTTAAAATATGAACAAACAGCATTGAAGAACATATAATAGTATTATTACCTGGAAAGTTTGGTCACATCCACCTACATGCACTTTATTCACGAAAATATTGGGCACAGTTTTCTGATTAGTGATTTCTGACAGCACTTCTTGAACCCTGGCCCCATCATCTAAAGAAGAAAAAAACTATATATAAAAACACTGAAAAGAGTTTCAAATCTTTGTGAGTTAAACAAAGTGTTACAACACTCAAATGTTCACATGTACATACTCATAACAGGTCAGTGTGTTATATAACTTTATGAAATGATAACTCAAGAGGGGAAAACATCCTTGCTTTCAAAGAAAATCTTAAAAAATAAAGATCTACTGATTCCTTCAAAGATAAACCCTTCAAAATTAGATTTTGACATATTATTCAGTGACTATGCCAAGACAGATAAGAGCCCTCTTTAAAGAGCAAGAATCAAGATAAAATCGCTGTAACAATAACCCAGAAAATACTTCTTACAATTACATTTGAAAAATGTTTATGGTCATAGTCCAATATTTATCTTCCATCCCTAAAAATAAAACTGGTCCATCACTACTTAAGACTACCTTATTGGTAAACCCTTTAGAAAAGTCTCCAAGATTCAAGAGCATTTCATTCATTAAGGCAACTTTAAAGTGAGTCAGTGAGGTTCTATGAAGGCAGAAATCAAACTTGTTCTGTTCATCACCATGCCCTCACCCCTGAAAAACTCCTTATGTGTAAAGTGCTGAACTAATATTAGATGTATGAATGCCAAGAATTCAAAAGTATAAAGCTAAAAACTTAATGCACTCTCCCTGGTGGATGACACAGCCAGGAAATGGGAGCGGATCCTTTTCATTTGTTACAGCTTTATCTGTTCTGCTAGAGAGCTGGCAGATACATCTGAAATGCCTTAAGTACTTCAAAGGGAGCAGCTTATATATCTTCCTCCCACTCCCTTCCCTCAAATATGGAAAATGTATAAATAAAAAAACTACACCAATTTATCTGCCACATTAGGGTTCATTTTCTGCATGGCTGAATGTAGACAAAAATGCCTCATTTAACCCGAAGACAAGAGTAATCTGAATTGAACAAAGTAAATGGAAAGAAGTCAATCTCGCTGGCATTTATTATAAACAACACTATGTTGTAACTGGTCTACTTACCAACTTGATCAAGTTCCAAGACATTACATTCGACTCCCAAAGAAGAAAAGAGTTCTTTCACCTGTAAAAAAAATTTAGCTAAGTTTCACTCTCAGAAAAGATTCAACAGCTATGAAATATGAACATAGTAATGAGAGATGTCAACAATAAATGTTCTGGAGGAACAGGAGTTCTAGCCAACGTGTGGTTTTTGTTTTTGTTTTTGATTTTTTCCTTTCCTCTACACATCTTCCCAGAATAATCTCAGGCCATCCCTTGCCTTCTTTTTACTGTCTCTTATGACTTTCAAATCTACAACTTTGGCCCAAATCTCTTTTCTGAACTCAAATAGGCAGTATCTATTTTCCACCTGCGTGTCCCACAGGCATCTCACAGGCAACACACCCACAATGCTACTCCTCTCCTTCCACTCAGTAAGACCCCATCTCTACAAAAAATAAAAAAACAAATTAGCCAGGCATGGTGGCACATGCCTTGTAGTCCCAGGTACTCAGGAGGCTGAGGTGGGAGGATCGCTGAAGCCCAGAAGTTTGAAGCTGCAGTGAGCCATGATCACACCACTTCACAACAGCCTGGGTGACACAGCAAGAAGACCCTGTCCCCCTCCAAAAAAGTACTATTAGTCCTAGCCAGAGCAATACCACAAGAAAAGGAAATAAAAGGCATCCTAACTGGAAAATAAGTTAAATTATCTCTGTTCACAGACAACATGATCTCATGCGTAGAAAACCTAAAGATTTCACAGACACACACATACCAAAACTGTTGAAATAAAGAAATTCAGCAAAGTTGCATTGTACAAAATCAACACACAAAAATCAGTTGATTTTCTGTATACCAATAACGAACAATCCAAAATAGAAATTGAGAAAAAAAATTTCATTTATAATAGCAACAAGAAGAACTAAATACTTAGGAAGAAACTTAACCAAGAAAGCAAAAGACTTGGATGCTGAAAACCACAAATGTTGCTGAAAGGAATTAAATAAGATAGCAACAAATAACAATATCCCATGTTCATGGATTGGAAGATTTTATACTTGCAAATATGTCAGTAGTACCCAAAGCACTCTACAGATTTAATGCAATCCTTTTCAAAATCCCAATGATCTTTTTTTGCAGAAATAGAAAAATCCATCCTAAAATTCATATGGAATTTCAAAGGACCCTGAATAACCAGAACAATCTTGTAAAGAAGAACAACAAAACTTACTACAAAGATACAGTAATCAAAACAGTGCCGTACTGGCATAAAGACAGGCTTATGGACCAAGGAAGAGACCAGAAAGGACAGAAATAAAGCCTCACATATACAGGGAAATGATTTTTTACAAGGGTGCCAAGACCATTCAATGGGGAAAGGAGAGTCTTTTCAACAAATGATGCTGAGAAAACTGGCTGTCCACTAACAAAAGAATGAAACTGGACCCTTACCTAACGCCATGTATGGAAATTAACTCGAAATGGGTCAAAGACCCAAATGTCAGAGCTAAAACTACAAAACTCTTAGAAGAAAATATACGGCAAAAGTGTCACGACACTGGCTTTGACAATGATTTTATGGATATGATCTCAAAGGCACAAGCAACAAAAGAAACAACAGACAAATAGCACCTCACAAAAATTTGAAACTCTTGTTCATCAAAGGACAGTTATCTACTCAGGAGGCTGAGGCAGGAGGATCATGGAGTCCAGGAGTTTGGGGCTGTAGTGCATTTTGATCACACCTGTGAATAGCCACGGCACTCCAGCCTGGGCAACATAGCAAGATGCCATCTCTTAAAAAGAAAAGAGGACATTATCAACTGAGTAGAGAGGTGACCCAAGGAACTGAATAGGGTATTTGCAAATCACATATATGATAAGGGATTAATATCTGGATTATATAGAGAACTCCTAAAACTCAAGAACAAAAAAGTTAAAACCCCAACTTAAAAATGGGAAAGCACTTGAATATAGATTTCTTCAAATAAGAGATATAAATGGCCAATAATAAGCACGTGAAAAGTTGTTCATCATCACTAATCTTTAGTGAAACGTGAATCAAAACCACAATAATACTTCACATCCATTAGGATAAGCATTATTTTTAAAAACAAAGAAAATAACAAATGTTGGTGAGGATGCAGAGAAACTGAGACCCTTGTGCACTTTAGTGGGAATGTAAAATAGTGTTGCCACTATGGAAAACAGAATGACAGTTCCTCAAAAAATTACAAATAGAAATATCACATAATCAAGCAACTCCATTTCTAGGTATGTACCAAAAGGAACTGAAAGCAGAGACTCAAATAAATATTTGTACACCCATGTTCATAGAAACATTATTCATAATAGCCAAAAGGTGGAAGCAATGCAAGTGACCATTGACAGATAAATGGATAAACAAAATGTGTTATATACATACAGTGGAATATGATTCAGTCTTTAAAAGAAAGGAAATTCTCACACATGCTACAACATGGTTGAATGTTTAGGACATTACTCTAAGTGAAATAAACTGGACACAAAAAGACAAATACTGTATGACTCAACTCATATGAGGTACCTAAAGCAGTCATATTCATAGAGACAGAAAGTCAGACGGTGGTCATGAGGGGCTGGGAGAAGGAGGAAAAGGGAGTAAGTGTTTAATGGGTATAGAATTTCAGTTTGGGAAGATGAAAAAGTTCTGTGGATGGATGCTGCTGATGGTTGCACAACAATGTACATGTACGTAGTGCCACTGAACTCTACACTAAAAAATAGTTAAAAATGGTAAGTTTTATGTTATGTGAATTTTATCACAATATTTTTAAAAAAGCAAAAGCAAACCAATGGAAATATAAATTTGTAATTCACAAATGTATGAATTCAGGACTGGGGAAACATGGCTTAAAATTAATGTGGGGAAAGTACTTCTAAAAGTCAGGGCATTTTATTCACTGTATAGTTTGCGTTATTATCTTACATCTGTCCTTTAACATTGACTTTCCAACTAGTCTAGCTGCCTCTACACTGAGCCTAGTTTCATATGATGGCTAGATTTCAAATCACAGGTCAGACGCTGCTCACAAGCGTGAGATGACTTTTCTTTGCCACATCATTAAGTCCACACTTATTAGCAAGCATTTTAAGACCTCCTTGGCCAGGCACGGTGGCTCACACCTGTAATCCCAGCTCTTTGGGAGGCCAGGCGGTGGATCACTTGAGTGCAGGTGCTCGAGACCAGCCTGGGCAACATGGTGAAACACTGTCTGTACAAAAAATGCAAAAATTACTGAGGTGTGGTGGCATGCACCTGTAGTCCCACCTATTTGGAAGGCTTACGTGGGAGGATCACTTGAGACTGGGAGGCAGAAGTTGCAGTGAGCCAAGATCAAGCCACTGCACTCCAGCCTGGGCAACAGAGCAAGACCCCATCTCAGAAAAAAAAAAAAGACCTCCCTAAATCACCTTTGAAACTAAACTTCCAGCCATTTTCCAATGAATCTTCCTGATTCCCTTGCATATACTTTGTGCTCAGCCATACTATTTTCCTTTTATCGTTATCTATCTTTGCTGATACTAGTTTCTTAACTAGATGCTCTTTCTTACCTACAGACTCTCAAGGACCAGCTTACATGGCATTTTCTTAGACTGTTCTGATCCTCCACAGAAGCCACTGTTTTATCTCTTATTCCCACAACTCTTGTTTTTCTTACGCACTTCTTTCTACACAAACAAGCTGGTTGATTACAGCTCAATTAGACTATGAGCGTATGGGAGGCAAGACCAAGGCTTATTCATTTCTGTGTCTCTGCAACACTAAGCACCCAATAACACTTATTGAATGCCATTAGCAGCCCAATGAAGAAACAAATCTCTCTCCTTGACTCTGCAAGGATAAGAACATATGTGGAATATGGTGTCTAATTTTGGGGGATACATTTAAGAGGTTCATGGGCAAAAAGAAAACTGTACAACCAAGTTAGTGAGCGGCCACATGTAAAGACGGACATGTAAGAAAGCAGGCTACTCAGTCAAGCAAGAAAAACACTTGGCGAAAGTACGGGAAGATCTGCCTTCCAAGCAGAAGCAAGGTTCTTAATTCTGCCCACTGGAGCAATGCTCACCTCCAAGAATGAATAAATATTTCAGAGAGGCAGATTTTGCTTCACTTAAAAAAATTCCAATAATCAGAGTTGTCCAAATATGTCATGGGACTCAAAATGGTGGCCACATTACTGAAAATGTTAACACATACAGAATAGAGGATCATTTGTCCTAAGATTTTTCTGTATCAGGAAAGATTTGACTAACATTATTTAAGATAATTCACCCTACATTATGTGCCTGACACTATTGTCTAGGCCCCAGTAATACAGCAGTAGACAGACAGTTCTGATCTCTTGGTGTTTATGCAAACTACAAAGGACAACTCTTAAGAAATATAGATAGAAAACAGACCCCAGAAATAGTCCAACACATACATGAGAACCTGATCAATGATGAGTGAGCATACGAACTAGTGTGGAAAGGATGGGGTCTCCAAAAAAGGAAACAGGAACACCTGAGAAGTCACAAAGAAGAAAACAAACTGAATCCCCACTCCTATTACTAATATCAATCCCAAGTAGACGTCAAGAATGTAGGTATGAAAAGCATACTATTCAATTTTCAGGAGCTAAAACAGGAGAATATCTTTATGATCTCTGAATAGAAACAGATTTCTTAAAAAAGACACCAAAAGCAAGCCATAAAAGGAAAAGAACGATAGAAGCAAATACATTAAATTTACAAACTTCAGTTAATGAATAGATCCTTGTATTAGTCTGTTCTCCCATTGCTATAAAGAAATATGAGACTGGGTAATATATAAAGAAAAGAGGTTTAATTGGCTCACGGTTCTGTAGACTCTACAGGAAGCATGATACTGGCATCTCCCTGGCTTCTGGGAGGCCTCAGGAAACTTACAATGATGGCAAAAGGCAAAGGGGGAGCCAGCACTTCACATGGCCAGGGCAGGAGCAAGACAGTGGGGTGGGGAGATGCTACACACTTTTAAATGACCAGATCTCATGAGAATTCACTATCATGAGGACAGTACCAATGGCATGATACTAAACCATTCATGAGAAATCCACCCCCATGATCCATTCATCTCCCACCAGGCCTCACCTCCAGCATTAGGGATTACATTTCAGTATTTGGGTGGGGACACAGATCCAAACCATATCAATCCCATAAAAAGAGTGAAAAAGGAAGCTAAATCTGACCGATTTTCTACAGCAGCAGGTCCTCAAATAACATTATTTCATTACAACAGTGATTTAAAAAACTATTTCCAGCCAGAGCCACTGTCAAGTGGAGTTTGCACCTTCTCTTCATGTTTTCTCCAGGTACTCCGGTTTCCTCCCACATCCCAAAGATGTCCATGTTAGGCTAATTGGTGTATCTACATTTTCCCAGTCACAGAGAGTGTGGGTGTGTGTGCAAGTGCACCTGCAATGGGATGGTGTCCCAGCCAGGTTTGGATCCCGCCTAACACCCTGAGCTGTCAAGATAGGCTCTGGCCACTTGCAACCCTGAAATGGAGTAAGTGGGTTGGAAAAGGAATGAATAAGCAAATATAAATTATTGCCAAATAAAACTTCATCAAGTAGACAATAATCATATAGATGCAAACAATAACGAATGCAGTGCACCCTCCGCCCCTAACAAAGGGACTCTGATTTTGTTTTTGAACTGCCCAGTGGCACGAGGTGCTCCTTAAAATTCTGCTTTGCAAACATTTTTTTATTTCACCCACCACCATTAGAACCCAACCTCTCCTGACTCACCAGAAATTGGGTAAATAATTTTCTTCCTTGTTCTCACTAATCTCTCTTAAATGTATGTATAGCTCACGTTTATTTCAATGTTTAATATTAGACATGTTTTGGGTCTTTATTTAAAAGTCTGGTGATTTCTTTTTGTGGTCAGAAATATGCCATAGGAACTTAACTCTTATTTCTATCGATTAGCCTACAATAAAACTGGTTTTGTTACATGCCATTTGGCTTAAGGTTGGTTTCCAAGAACCTATCAACAATGTTGAGTGAGCACTTACTGTATACATAACCAAAGAATAAGCATCCTAAATATATAAAGAATAAGTCAGTACAAACAACTAAAAACCACTGCATAGGAAAATAGGCAAAAGGCCTGAAAAAAATGAAAAACACGCTATATAATTTCACAGAAGAGGAAGCTCAAATGATGCATGAACACACTGGACTTCATTTGGGAAATGCAAAATCAAACCATAATGGAATGCCATTTCAAAACTGCCAGAATGGCAAAAATTAAAAATATCAACTGTTAGCAAGGATGTAGAGCAAGATGAATTGTTCCAAACTAGGAGCAGAGTAAATTGGTATCACTACTTGGAAACTCAGTTGGGCATTACCTTGCTAAGGTAGAAATCATGCATCCTTTATGACCCAGCAACTCAGCTTCAAGATACCTATTCTAGAGTTAAGTCTTTTATAAATGCGCTGGGAGTTACGTGCAAGAATAAACATATAGCTGTACTGTTTTTTAAGACCAAAATACCAAAAACAGCAGAATGATAAACTCCGGTACGATTCATCCCAGGGAATAGTCAGCAACGAAAATTAATGAACCCCAGCTACAGATACTAACATGCATGAATCTCTGAAACATAACTGTTGAGGAAGAAAACTGCAGAAGAATACCTATGTATGTATGGTTCTATTTATATCAAGTCCCAAAACAGGCCAAAAGGAACCAAATATTGATGAATAATATATATATTTGGTAAAAATGTAAAAAAAAAAAAAGGAAATTTTGCATAGTGGTTAACCCTGAGGGAGGGAGGAGACAGCCAAGGAAGCTTCTACAGTACTAGTGTCACTTTATTATTCTTAAAAATATATATGCATAATATATGTTTTAAGAAACTATACACATCAATGTAAACTTCAAATATATTTGAAAAACACAGCCTATAATTTCATGAACTCAACCCAATAGTTTATGCTTTTGCATACTGTCTTCCACGTATCATTTTTCAACTTTCTGTAAAATGAAGTAAATTCCTAAACGTTGAAAGTCTGTACCTTACACGTAGGTTATCACCCAAAGGCTCGTTTCTAAGTGAAGTATTCTTAAACACAGAATACATTTGTCCTTAGAAATAATGCCGGATTCCTAGTCCGCCCCGAAAAGTTAAGGCAGTGTGCATGAAGCTGAAATTACCTCAGTCGTCCTAACAACCTTCCCGTACCTTCGTTTCACAAACGGGGGAACTGAGGCTCTGCACAGGGTCCTAACCCGGGTCGAGGTCACGCAATTAGGAGAGTTTCTGTTTTGATAAACTATCACAAGCCCACCTCAGGGGACGACCGGGGAGAGGAGAGGACGGACGGCTGACCTCACCGCCGCAGCCCGGGACCCGCGGGCGCCCCGGCCCGGACCCGCCCTGCCCCGGGTGGCGTCCGCGTGGCGGGCCCGGTCGCGCGCGGTGGAACCGGCGAGGGCCGCGCCTACCCGAGTACTATGGGGACAGTAGCTCTTGCTGAAGATCACCACCCGGCTGCGCTCGATGAGGCCCACGAGGTGGCGGCGCAGCTCCTCGCGGGCCTCGGACGAGCGGCTGGGCCCGGGGGACGACAGGCGGGCACGGCGCCCCGGCGGCGACAACACGCGCGCCCCTCGGACATGGCCCGAGCGGCGGTTGGGGGCATCGCCCGCCTTTCCCGGCCCGGGCGACTGCGGCGGCGACCGCTCCAGAGTCTCGCTCTCGCTCCTGGCCCGGCCGGGCCTGCTCACAAACCGAAACGCAGGCGGCTGCGGCGCCGGGACGGGGCCTGAGGGGCGGCGAACGCTGCCCTCGCTGGCCACTCTCACCACCCGCGCGAATCCGCGAGGCAGCCGCTCGCCCCGCCCCCCAACACCGCCCCGCGCATGCGAAATTGGGTCCCCCGCCCGCCCGCAGCCTAGGTGTCACCTGCCCTTCGCAAAGGGGCGGGTACCAAGCGCGAGCCTCTTTATCTCCAGGTTGTGCCTGCGTCCGGAGACCACCCAATCTTGGCGATGGCGCTCTGAGATGGCCTCTGTGCAATGCCTTTTACTCCTAATAATCCCCAACAGCCCCTTTAAACCACCTTAAAATATACGTTCTTCAATTTTTATGGGAAGTGTGAATTGGAAAGATTGATATTTTTAAAAGTTTAGATCACACAAGCTAAATAAATATATTGCGTTTGCTATTGCAATGCAGCTTTAATGAGTTTCCTAGGTTGCTACCCGTCAGTTCCCTTCTACATAGAATTCCAGAGCCGCCCCTAACAAAGGGACTCTGAAACCGCGAGAAGAGGAATCCTCTGTCCATTTCGGTGGATGAGTGGAAGACCTCGGAGCTGAACTTGCCTGCAGTGACTGAGTTAGCCGGTCATGGTGGCGGGTGCCTGTAGTCCCAGCTACTTGGGAGGCTGAGGCAGGAGAATGGCGTGAACCTGGGAGGCGGAGCTTGCAGTGAGCCGAGATGGCGCCACTGCACTCCAGCCTGGGCAACAGAGCGAGACTCCGTCTCAAAAAAAAAAAACAAAACCAAAAACAAAAACCTGGAGTTTCCTTCTTCTCAACAATTCTTTACATTTCAGTTAAGTCCTCTAGGCGGAACCCATGCAATAACCAGAGCAGGGGAAGGAGCCTAGTAGGTACTTTATGCTTTTTGTTAACCTGTGCACTCAGCGATGCTGGAGTGCCTGTCATGTGCCAGATACTGTGCTGGGCGCTGCGGATTTGGCAGAGAATGAGGCTGGCCGCCCTGCTCCTATGAGGTGTGGCTGCGTCTCTCCATCTCCTGGGTCCCATGAGGCACAACCAGTCATGGGGCCATTGTTCAGGTGAGGACACATGTCCAGGATGAGGGGGGAGTGTGTGGAAGCTACGGGCCTTGAAGTCAGGTGCATCCTCCTTTTCCCTGAGACTAATCTGTGGACATGACCCATGTCCCCAGCCGTCGCCCTCAGGGAGGTCGCAGGGCTGGCCGGGTCCCTGCGTGAAGTTTCATCTAGCACCCAATCACAGTGCCTGTGATTTTCACATTAGCTTGGGTCCTCCTCTTTGAGCCGTGAGGGGGAGTAATCAGGGGCACAGACCATGACACTCTTGCATGGCACAGCCTGGCCCATCACACAACATTGATGGGTCATTGACATGGGCAGCCTGAAGGAAACAGACATTGATGGGTCCAGTGACATTCAGAAATATCCACAGGGTCCCTTCTCCCCTGCAGTTGCCACCTGTCAGGGCACAAGTCTGAAATGCGATCAGGGCCCCAGGAAGTGGGGGCTGAGATGATGTGGGCAGAGTCTTGGGGCCTGGCAAGCTCCAGGCCATGTGACAGTTGCAGCCCCCACATGCACAGAGCTGCCTCTGGCTGCACTCACAGCATCTTAATGAGCACGCTGCATTTGTCATCTCCTACTCGATGACAGGACTTTCCCCTTGGCTCAGTGTTTCCCGATGTTCTCAGGTGGCACCTTTAACACTCAGAAATTAGAATTCATTCTGGGCATAGGTCACCACCACTTCCTTCCCCTCGCAAATGTTCTCCCGTGTGTGAATCAGGAAGCAGGTGGGTCCAGAACACATGGAGAGGCCAGGTGGTATGAGCCGCATATGCAGTGTAGAGTTAGGAGTGGGTGCAGGTTCCCACTCTGCCACCAGCTAGTGACCAAGTGCCCTCAGTTCCCCAAGCCTCTAGACTTGCCTGGTGAGGACTTCCTTAAAGCATCACCATGAGGTGCAGTGAACCACTGTGCACCAGCCCAAGGGGCAGGCCAGGCTTTGCGGGCTCCAGAGATGGTGGCTGGATGCCTATCCCCTGGGAAGTCAAGTGGAAGAGCAATTGATTTCCCCACTGCCATTTTAATGTGTCTTTAAAATGTGCAAAATGGTTCTGAAAGAAAAGAAAAAGAGCAAAAGCCCTTCCCTGTGTTACCCTGTGTAGGGCTCCTCAGTGGGTGCACCATGGAATTTCTTCACATTGTGAAGGACCTACCCACTCCTGACAGCAGTAGCTTTTGCAGGAGTTTGAAATCAGAGTCTCGAATTGGGTTCTCAAAGAAAGCTCTCATTACTCTCCCTAATCTTTCAATGGGTTTTCTTTGGGGGAATTGTAATAAGCTAGGGTGAATCAGCCCCAGCAAAACCAGAACTGGGGCTCTTGGACCCCATTTCTCAGCCCGTATTTGACACCAGGCTCAAGTGGTGATGGCTCAAGTCACATAGCTACTGTTTTGGAGTATAAGCATGATGTCCACTTTGGGATCTTTATTTATCTACTGTAAGTCATTGTATGGAATAACTCAGGCATGCTGCGTCTGTATTAATGTACCTTGAGTAGGTGGTATGTGCAGCTCAGGTCAGCTTGTTGATCTCCTGTGTCCCCAGCCAGTTATGGGCTTGGGCCTTTCTCAGCGTGGCCTTTGCCTTTGGCCATTCTCCCTCCTCCCCTCCCCACAGTTCTCTTCCAGCTCCAGGAGGCATCTAGCTCGGTTCCCCTGGGAAGTGGAGAGTCAGGAAGGAGCCCAAGCTGGGATGTAGGGTATCTGGTTCTATCCCCAGCTCTGCCTTTTCAAAGCCACACCCCTATCCTGTCATCTGGGCCTGTTTCCTCATCTGTATATTGAAGAGGTTGGACTAGAATCAGCACTTGCCAAATAGGTGAGGTTTGCAGGTGATTTTCAGAATTTCCAAGGCTTAACAAAGCTGGTTTTACTCTCTAAAGCCAAGCAGGCTGGAGCACCAGGTTCCATGACCTTGTCCAGAATTACTCAGAGCAGCAGCCCTGGAGCTCATCCAGTCAAGACGTGCATGGGGGGGCCAGGCTGGGCCAGATGCTGGGCTGAGTCCTGAGGGTATATGAGTGCTGAGGACAGCCTGGAGAGGAAGGCCAAGTGCACTGCAGGCCCCATCAACACTGATGGCACACAGCAGGTCCAGCCCCCGGGAGAGGGGAGCAGGGGCACTGGAAGAGCTGACCTGGATGAGGGAAGACTGTTCTGAGGAAGAACACTGGACCTGGGCCTGAAAGATGACTTGGAGCCAGCAGATGGAGGCCGGGAAAGAGCCCCAGGTCTTTAAGGGGGCTGCGAGCCCCAGAGGCAGGCAGGCAGCAGGTATCTGACTGTGTGAGTGGGAGAGAATGCCTGCATGGCTGGAGCATAAGCATGGTGGGGGAGTGTGATGTGCATGGAAACTGGAGCGGAGGCAGGGGCCAGGCCACACCAGGCTTTACAGGGCATTCTAAGGCTTTGGGCTCATTCTCAGAGCACTGGACAGCTGTTGAAGGGTTTTCACCTGGGTGAGATGTGGTCCTATTTGGTTTTCTCTTTTGGGTCAGAGACCTAATTTTGTGTGTGTGTAGGTTCTTGATATTGAAACTCTAGCTTTGCAAACCCTGAAGTGCTTACTTTAAAAACCCCTGCTACTCACCCCATGAATATGAGACCACAAATAGCCAGCAACAAAGCCAGACCCAGATAGAGGAGAGGGGCAGCCGGCTGGACTCACCCACTAGCTCCATAACCTGTTCCTGCCTGCCCAGCTCCAAAACCACCTGGATGAAATACACGCCTAAGCAATAAGGCAAGCTTCATGCAGTCCATCATAAATAGACATGTCACGTGTGTGAATGCCTATCCTGTGCAGCATGAGAGGGTGATTGTGAATGCACTTTTTTAGGGGAGAAACTCCTGAAGGCAGAATCCCTAAAAGTGGATAAATGGCCAGGCGCAGTGGCTTGTGTCTGTAATCCCAGCACTTTGGGAGGCTGAGGTGGGTGGATCAGGAGGTCAGGAGATTGAGACCATCCTGGCTAACACAGTGAAAGCCCATCTCTGCTAAAAATACAAAAAAAAATCAGCCGGGCATGGTGGCACACACCTGTAGTCCCAGCTACTCAGGAGGCTGAGGCAGGAGAATTGCTTGAACCTGGGAGATGGAGGTTGCAGTGATCTGAGATCGCGCCACTGCGCTCCAGCCTGGGCGACAGAGGAGACTCCGTCTCAAAAAACAAAGTGTGTAAACAGAAAAGGATTAAAGTGAGGGCTCTTAGGCCAGAGTGGGTGGATTGCCCGAGCTCAGTAGTTCAAGACCAGCCTGGGCAACACGGTGAAACCCTGTTTCTACTAAAATACAAAAAATTAACTGGGCGTGGTCCCAGCTACTCGGGAGGCTGGGGCAGGAGAATTGCTTGAACCCGGGAGGCAGCAGTTGCAGTGAGCCGAGATCGTGCCACTGGACTCCAGCCTGGGTGAAAGAGCAAGACTGCATCTCCAAAAAAAATAAAAAATAAAAAATAATGGGGCTCTTGCCTTGAGCCCAGGAGTTCGAGGTTGCAGTGTGCTGTGATGATCCCACTGCACTCCAGCCTGAGTGATGGAGCTAGATCCTGTCTCTAAAAAAATGAAATAAAAAAATAAAAACAAGGATCTATTCTAGCCACAGTGGCATACACCTGTCATCCCAGCTGCTGCTCTGGAGGCTGAGTTGGGAGGATGGCTTGAGTCCAGGAGTTTGAGGCTGCAGTGAGCTATGGTCCTACCACTGCACTCCAGCCTCAGAGACAGAGCAAGACCCTGTCTCTTAAAAAAATAATAAATAAATGTTAAAAGGGTCTTTGGCAGTGAAAAGGCTGGAAAACTCTAGCTCTGGTTTGTTCATTCACTCACACCTTAGCAGTCAGTGCTTCACACAGAGCTGGGGCTGTTGATCAGACACAGAGTTGAGCGAGATGCACGGAGCTCACACTGGGGTGGCCTTGCAGGCTGCTCCCAGGTTCTGTGATTCAGTCCGTTCTGATTGGGACTTCTCAGGGAGAGCTGCCGCTGAAAAGTAGCTGTCTCGTTTTCTGCCAGTCCCTGTCTTGCAGTTTCACAGAAGACCTCACGGGGTGCTTCTCTACCGCCAGGGCTGCAGCGGCAGGTGGCCAGCTCAGGACGTGGCATCCTGGGACTGCATTCTCACTCTGTCCCCAAGTTCCTGCACATCCCAAGGTTGCTGACTGCCCCTCTTTGATCAGCTTCCATTTTCTTCCCTTTGTAAAATGTGCAAATTGGAGATCAATGTTCGGTGAGATCTAGCTGAGCACTGACATGTTATATCCCAATCCCTGCTCCTGGCCAGCAGTGGGGCTTGTGATGAGAGGTGGGCAGGGCACTATTTGGGGTAGGATTTCCCTTGTCCACTGCTTTCTAGTGCTGGCCTGGAGGGCTCTGCCAGTGAGGTGATAGGCTGGTGCTGAGGGTGAGGCATTGCTCACGGACCTGAGCAGAGGGGGGGCTCTGCAGCCACGTAATCCACCACCCACCCCTCTACCCCAGCCCCGAACCTTGCAGGTATACCCTTTGCTCCCTGGCTCGACCAGCATCATGACCTATGACTTGTGCCTCATCTTCCCGGCCCTGGCCAAGGCTGTCGTTTACGTGTCAGACATTCAGGAGCTGTACATCTGTGTGATTGATAAGGTCAGTGGAAGCTTCATGATGGGGCCCCCTCAGCAGACCTGCAGGAACGGAGAGTGAGGCGGCTGTGGGATGTTTCCTATGGCCTTCACTTTTGCTCCTGGGGTCTGCATCCCTTCCCCTGTGAGCTTGCAAAGCTGTCTTCTATCTCCTTCGCTCTATGTTAAGGATGCAGAGTCCCTCCAGTAAGGAACTTCTTCATCCCAGGTGACATCCCCATGAGGCTTGGCAGTAAATCCTGCTGGAAGTTGCCTCTAAATTAGCTGTGACCTGGGAATTCTTGTCTTTTAGCTGGTGTAGGTTATTAACCAGCCAGGCACATGTCTTGCTGAGCATGGATTTCCCCCTGAAAATACAGGTTTTGGGTTCTCTGGAGTTTCAGTGACAAATGAGTACAGCTCACCCACGCCAAGCACCATTGCAAAAAAGGAAAAGGAATAGATCTCGTTTTATCTTTCACGTCAATAGCGAAATTTTATTACTCCAAATATCTGAGGTGACTGAAGCTGGGCTTCCAGAGGGTTGTGGTCGGGATCCTGAGTGGATAGAAGGGCTGGTAATTAAAAGGGCATCTTAGGCTCCTTAAGAAGCTAATATGCTCTATCCAGCCTCACATACTCCTCCTATAATCTCATTTCCACTGCTGTTTGCTAATTTTCTGTTTCTTCACTGTGTATTTCTGACTCTCATTTCCTAAGGTTCTTATCATATTCTACACTGCCAGGTGTGAGCTATTCAGTCAGTGAGCATTTACTGAACTCCTACTGGATGCCTGCTGCTGTTCTAAGCAGTGTCTCATCTCCCTAATTAGTGTATTGTTATTTAAGAGTAGGGAGTGGAACTTATGCCTGTAAGTATCCCCAGCCACCCTCCCCTGACCCACCCCTTGGAATAAGCGCTTCATCAATTTTCATTTGCTGACTGGCTGATAGTCCAGAGGTAAACCTGGGTGACTCATCCCTGATTCCCAGGTCTGTGGGTTGAGGTTGGTGATGCTATTAGTATCTCAGAAAGTCATGGGGCACCATAGATGGTGAGATTGGTCTCTCAGAGGCCATCCCTGAGCCTCTGTCTGCACGATGCAGGCGGAGATTGGGAAGACAGTGAAGGCAAACATCCGCATGCTGGACTTGCACAAGAATCCCCTTCTGGCCAAATACTTCCCATTCATGGACCTGAAGCTCCGAGCAGCTTCCCCAATTGTCACATTGGTGTGAGTCCTCCTGATGGTCACCTCCTCCAGCAGAGATGTCACAAAGGCAACTCCTGAAGTAGGTGATTCCTGGACAAGGGGAGCTCTGAGGTCACTCATGGGCTCATTATGTGGTGTGGGGCTGTCTCGGGGTGTTAGGTTATGACAGGAGCAGCACTGCAGCCACAAGCCATGGCAGTCGTGGCCCGGGGATCATTCCAAGTCTATTTACAGCAGCAACATTAAACCAGCCCTGCCAACATCCTCCCTGTGCTTGGGCCACGCTGGGGCTGGTGAGCATCATTAATCTGTGATCTGAAGCACGTGGGTACTGTCTGTGCCTCTAGATGGACTCGCACCTTTCTTCTGGCAATAAGAAATTTGTTTCTGACCAGCAATAGCACAGCACTGCAGAGACCAATCCTCCCACACAAGCAGTGCCCTGGATGCCTCCTGTGTTCACTCACCTTCTCCTGCCAGGAGTGCACTTGGGGGGGATGCAGGAGGAGCAGGTGGGGGCTTCACCGCCTCCACAGCATGGCACCGGCATCCCTGGTCTCCTCCTGGGCTAGTCCTTGTTGCTGAGCTCCTTGATCCTCATCTGAAAAGTTTTGAGAGCACTGACAAGAACGATTCTAAGGTGTTTTTCAGCAGAAATTGGGAGAAATTTAGGGAAGGAGGTAACCTTCGAAAAAGGAGTTGGGGAGTCCTAAAGGCAGTGGATGGCAAAGCTTGACCCACACCAGCATCTCCAGAGGGCATGTTAGGACACAGATGCAGGGCTGCCTCTGGCTCCATGGGCCGGGGTGGCTGGAGGGTATGCATTGCTAGTCAGCGACCACACACTGAGAATTGCTGATCCAAGGGGAAGGCTCAGCTGCATGAAAGGTCCTTGTTTTCATGGTGTTTAGCATCTGGGGAAGTGGAGCACAGTCACAAACAGCAGAACATGCCCCAGAGAACCAGAGAGCCTCGGCCAGTGGCTGGGAGGCAGCCCCCAGGACCCTGGGGCCCACAGGTCACTGCTCACATAGGGGTGATGTTCGTGCCCTGAGTTTTCCTCTCATGAAACATGTGGTGTGTAAGTCATGGGTTCAGGGCACAGCAGTTCCTTCTCTCCTCTGTCTCAACCGGTTTTTCCTCCACTCGGGCTGATTCTCAGGAACGCGACACTGCTTATCCGGGTCATGATGCAGGTGAAAGCTGAGAAGCCACATCATGCTCCAGCCCCAGTGTGCCCACTGCACAGCAGCCGCAGCTCCTGGTGCACTGCCTCTGTCCTAGCACGAGGTGACTGTGTAGAGGTGGAAGCCATCAGCACTGAGGCCCTGGCTCCATCTGGGGGAGGCACAGGCTGCCTGGCACAGTAGGCACTGATGCACTGCTATTTCCTCCCCACTCAGGTCACCTCTGAGGGCAGCCCCCAGCCTCAGTCCAACATCCTTTTCTCCATCAGCAACTAGAACGTTGCACTGGTGAGCGCTTCCAGGCTGGTACCAGGTCTCACCATGGGGAAGGGCACTGTGTCTGGGCTTGTGCAGGTGGTGGATGCAGAGACTGGCAAGGTGGTCATCATCTCTCAGGTAACAGACGTGCTATTGGAGACTGGCACTATCTGAACTCCCCAGGACAGCCAGCTGTGGTGATGGGCCACTGCTTCCCAGGGCAGCTGTGCCCGAGACAAAGGCCTCTTTACTGTGTTTGGGTTCTACCTCTGAGGACCACCTCTCTCCAAGGGTGCTGCTTCTGCCCCCTGGGTCTGCAGTCCCTGCCAGGGCCCCCTGTGCAGGACAGCCCTGCTGACTTGGGAGCACCCAGACCCCCAGAGGCTGCTCTTCTCCAGGCTGAGTCTCCCAGTCTTTCCAGCTGCTCCTTACGGGACAGGGTCTTCAGCAACCCCCGGCCCCAAAGGGCCCTTCCAGTGGAGGATGATGGCAATCGTGGTGAGGGCAGGCGCCGCTCCGCACACTTTGCCTTCATGTCCTTCAGTCCTCTCGGTGCCCTGTGCATTTTCCTGCTGTCCCCCTTTGATGATGGGAGACTGAGGGACTAGCTAGCAGACCACAGTCACCATGTGCCAGTTCTGGGATTGGGCCCAGGGCTGCCCAGCATCAGAGCTCTCGGGCCTTTTGTTGGTCACTTGAAGCTGGGCTTGAGCATGTGCTGATAGCAGAGAAGGGGTGCTGTGGGCTGAGAGTGCCTTCTGGGTGCATTGTATGTCTCCGGAGTAGTGTGGTGTATGTGTGGTGAATTAAAAAATTGTACTTCAGCCCTGGATTTGTATTTCCAGGTGGAGAGAAAAACCTGGGTCATCTGCTAGCATCTTCTACACCAGCAGAGGTTAAGTCATCTTCCCAGTCTCTGTGCAGGGTGGGGGACTTTCCTAATTGCTTTTCTGGGCTGGCAGTGAAGGTAGGAGGCCAAGTTAGGGCCGTCTTCTCCCCAGAGGGTCTCCCTGCCCCACATTGGTGGGACTGATTCAAGCAGGTGAAAGTCGGTGTCTGGAGAGTCTGACAACTTCCCCGCGTTGTGAGGCGTGGGTCTCCTTTGGTCCTCTGGAGAGGAGGTGAGACCATTTCCACCTTCTGACGAAGGCTCAGGGCTAAAATTGGGGCCTTTGCATTCTTCGTGACCTCCTTCGCCAGCAGTGACTTGCAGAATCATCTCAGGGAAGGCTGCTTTGGAGTTCCACTCACAGCTGGACCAGAAACTTGGTCTGTAAGAAGAGCCTTCTGTGATGTTTAATGCAACTGTGGACAGAAACCTGTTTCAGAATCAGTCATCCCATTCCTCATGAGAACTAGGTCCCCTGGAAGCAGTCCATGCAGTCCTGAGTTCAGAGCCTGTAAACACAGAGCCCAGGGAGCTGGCGAGTGCACCGCCCTAGAGGGGGCGCAGGGAAGTCCTTGTTTTCAGAGGCTGACTTTGATCCATCATTGAGTTCAGTGATTTACTCCTTTTCCCAGCATTTTCCGTGCCTGCCCAAGTATCCTTGTTAAGCCACAAAGTCTGAATCACAGAGGTGGATGCCCAGATCCAGTGTGTGTCAATTTCCAAGACAAAGAAAAAGTCTTGGGGATGTTAAAATCTGTCCTGGGGACGTGGCAGGGTTCAGATTGGCTTCCCAGAGCATCACATTCAGTACTGTGACTTACAGACAGGAGGCCTGTGGTTTTTTTGTGTTTGTTTGTTTTGTTTTGTTTTGTTTCTCTAAAAAGGATTGCAGCCTCAGGAACTGGCTCATTTTCCAGTAGCTAAAAGGGCAGCTGGCTGGAAATTCAGCCAGAGGGACACAGGGCACTGAGTATCCCTCCTCTTTGTTGTCTGACTTTGCTGGCATTCTCCCCTCTGGGTCCACCATCTGACAGGTTGGGGAGGTGCTGGGGAAAGGCCCTGGTGGCCCTTGGCAGGTGGAGGGGCTGCATCACCATCCCCATCTGAAAGGCATCTTCTTGAGCCCAGGCAGGCAGGGGCTTCGCCGGCAGCCCCTGTGTCCTTGCCTGGAATGTGATTCTGGTCAGATGCTTCCAGTTCCATCTGTCCAATCCAGTTCACACAACCAGCACCCCAAGGCCGTGGGGTGGGCCAGGACTAGCAGGAGGAGACTGAGCAGAAGGATAAGTGAAAGGAGGGGAATGGGTGCTTATCAAGCACCTACTGTGTGCCAGGCATTAGCCCAAGTCATGAGGCACAGAATGTGGGCTCAGCATGAGCGCGTGGCAAAGAGTCTAAGAGGTTTAATCATGTCAGTTCCACATGAGTCAGCAGCACTAGAAAGAAGCCAGGAGAGTTAGTCTTTGGCCAGATTAATAGGAGTATAGAGTTGAGCATGAAGGAGGTTATAAGGTCTGCTCTAATCAGACTCCACTGGACTCCTGCATTTGTCCCTGTACTCTGCTTAGTCAGACACAGGCAAGCTGGATTTGGGTTTGGGAGGGTCTGAAGACCTGTCGCTTGAGGGCAGCCTGGCCTAGGGAAGAGCAGACCCCAGTCCCTGGCCCCAAGTCTGAAGTGCTGACCCGAAGCAGCTGGATGAGATAGGGTGGCAGCCTCAGAGCACTGGGCTGGGACCTGCGGGGCCGTGGGAGAGGAAGTGGCTGGCCCATGTGGGGTGAACCGCCCACAAAACCAGGCCTCTCTTGGCAGAGGAGCACGGTGCTAGGCATCCTGAGGGGCCTTCTCGCCACAGCCTCTTAGCCGCAGCCTCCTTCCCTTGAGAGGTCCCTTCCAGAAACATCCCCGGCCAGCACAGCATTCTGGTGCCCTGCACCTGAGCACCATGCTCTTTCCCCAGGACCTCGTTCAGGTGAAGGTGCTGCTGCTTGGAGCCGTGAGGATCCGCAGCCCCATCATGCAGATAAGGATGGGCACCCAGGTGAGGGGACCTCCTGGGCTCTGAATCCTGGTTCCCAAAGAGCCGCTGCTATAACCCTGTCCTCGAGCTACAGTGCTTCTCCACCTCCTCCATCTGCCCAGCCTGGGTATCTAGGGGTGCAGTGGCAGCTTCCCACCCACCCCTACCCAGACTGACACCCTCTTGCAGCCACTGATGAAGGCCTGCTTCCTGCTAGCCTGTCACCTTCCCACACCTCAGATAGCACCAGGCGCCTAACAGGAGCACCATGACCGTGGCACTTACTCCACTCCATGCTGTCTCGGACATTAATCTGTTTGGTGTTCATAGCAGCCCTGGGAGGCTGGTGTCAGAACCATCTCCATGTTGCAGATGAACAAATGAATGCACAGAAAGCTTAAGACTCATCCCAGGGCCACACAGCTAGGAAGTGGCAGCACTGGCAGTGGACTGGGCAGCCCGGTGTGGCACCTGCTGTGGCCTTTTGCCTTCTCGCCTCCAAGTGTGCCCTCAGCAGACTCTCAGCAAATAGAGACTGAAGGAGCCAGGGACCCCACCCGTGGGTGCTCTGTGAGCAGGGACCCCGGCTAGATTAGGAGAGAGGGGCCCGGAGGAACCAGCACTGTGGGGCAGGGCAAGCTGTGCTGCTGGGGGACACATAGCCTCCTAGAGCTCCAGGGACTCCTTCCAAAAATGGGTCTCTTGGCCATGGGGAGGCGCAGCCAGCGGCAGGGGAGGCACAGTGTGGGGAAAACAGTCCCGCCTCTCGTTTAACTGTTTGGTATTTCATCAAAATTCCCAAACTTGTGCCATGTCCTTCTCTAGCTGGGGAAGAATTGGATACATCTCCCACTGCTTGAAGGAGGCAGCACAGCTTCTGGGGGCATTCCCAGTGCTGGCACCCCGCTGGTCACCAGGCCTGACTTCTCCCCACCGATGTCCATCTATATCACCTGGATCACCAACCACCAGAACCCTTTCTCCTTTGGCAATGCCATGCCAGGCCTGACCTTCCACTGGTCTGTCACCAAGCGGGACATCCTGGATCTCCAAGGGCAGCATCACAAGGTAGGTAACCACCCGCCCAGAGCCCATCTCCCACCCCTGTCCCAGGCCAGCACCCCGAGGGGCAGGGAGGGTTCCTGCCACATTGTCCCACAGGAAGTCCCACCTTCATACCCAGAGAGGCCCTTTCTGGCCTCTCCCAAGGCTCAATGGGACTCCCTTCTCCCAAACGCTAACCACACAGACAGGGTGGGTAGGTTCCTCTCCTAACAGAAGTGGCCATGTGGGGAAGTCACAAAAGTCCTGGGAGGTCAGAATCTGTAGCTTCTGACCATTTTCTGAGATGATGTCTAGCAGCCCCCAGTTTCTCCTGGTTTATCCCAGAGGCCAAACTCCCCTTCCCTTAGCCCTGTGAGAGGCCCTGGCTCCTCCTGAGATGTCAGAGCTAGAAGGTGCCAGGGAGAATCTACTAAGTCCCTCTTTGTGTTAACCAAGGCCAGAAACGGGAAGGGACTTGACCAGGGTTGCCCAGCAAGCCAGTGGGGAAATGGGACTGGGCACCAGCCCCTGTAACTCCAGGCTCAAGCCCAGGTGGGCCTTGGGCACACAGGACCCAAGCCGGGGATGGGTTGAAAGGTTGCTTCCTGCCCACTCCAGAGACAGCGGGGATAGAGGCTAGGGGAGAGGCCCAGGCCCAGGAACGGGCTTTCCCAAAGGCTGCCCGAAGCTCATCTAGAGTAGGACGAATGCCTCCCCACCCAACTCAGTGGGAACAGGGTCCTGTCCCCAGTGCCTGGGGACTCTCCTAGATTGCTCTAATGGAACACAGGCAGTGAGACTTGTTAACAGGTATCCCAAAACAAAGCAGTTGCGGGGACACACTGCAAAACCCAGCATTGCTCTGGGGACCTACACACACTGAAGGCTGTGGGACATCCTGTCGTGAAGACCCCTGGCTTGCGCGGGTTGGCCCAGTGTTTTCCAGATGCACATTGTGAGATGCAAGCAGGGCGGGGCCTGTGTGCCTTTGCTGAGGGTATCATGTCTGTGAGACCCAGCCCTGAGAAGCTCTCAGTCTTCGGGGGGGGTGACAGCAGCTCATTGCAGTGGGATGGGCATCCATGTGCGTTGGGTGCTGTGGGAGCCCAGAGCTGGGGCCGAACGAAGGCTTCACAGAGGAGTCGTGTTTCAGGATGGGAGGGACTGGCAAAGGCCTGGAGGTGGGAACTCACTTGATGTGTTGCAAAAGTAGCAAGGAATTCTGAACTTAGGGTCTGGGGTGCCCCTTCACACAGGGAGAGTCTGGCACTCACTGTGTCCCAGTGGCCATTAATATAATCATCTGTGTTTATTTAACAAACATGCACAGAACACCCAACAGAGGCTGAGGCGCCCTTGCGCACTTTCCAATATTGCCTTGTCCAGTCCTCAAGTGAAGCCTGCGGGGCAGGGGCCGCAGGGGCTGCTGCCTGCTGATGCCCCTGAGGTGGGGAGGAGCTGGGAGGGAGGGAGTCAGACCAGTTTCCTCTTGGACAATCACATGTTAGTTCAGATGATATTAGCCATGGGCCCAGGACCCAGGCCCGAGGGGTGTCCACCTGGTCTGATCAGAGGCCAGTGGGGAGCTCAGGGAACAGTTTTACCTGCCAGCGAGTGACTGCCCCTGAGCCAGGCTGGGAGGCCGAGGAGGCAGCAGCCCTGAGGGGCCTGAGAGAGGGGACTTACACAGGTGGTGGACACATCAGAGGTCTTGCAGAGAAGGGGCCTGGAGTTCCCAGGTAAGTGCTATCGCCACAGGCTTGGGGAGTCACCAGGGCCTTGGAGAACCTGGGCGTCCCAGGATCAGATCTGAGCTGATGTCATGAGGCTGATCATCTGCTGGACTGAGCTCCTCGCCAGGCCCCTGTGTGTGTATATGTGGATCCTGCAAGAACGTGGCCAGACAGAGCCAGCTAGAGGAGCCTGGGAGGTGGAACCGGGTTTGTTCTGAGATGGTGGCAGTGAGGAGCAGGATATCTCTGTGAGAGGAAGGAGCAGTTAGGTGGTGCCTTGCCCAGGCTCAGTCCTGGCACAGTTACCCTGAGGAAGATCCTGGTGCTGGAGTTGTACATGCTGCCCTCTGAGCTCACATCCTGGCAGGTAAAATTTTCCCTCACTGGGCACGGAGGGAGAGGCCTGTGTTTCCAGGCTCCTTGAAGGAACTCCCATTAGGCTGCACAAACATGAGCCTGCCTGCCTTTTCTCATCATATCTTTGACCTCTTCTTTTTTTTTTTTTTTTTTTTTTTCCGCAGGGTCTTGCTCTATTGCCCAGGCTGGGGCATAGTGGCGTGATCACAGCTCATTGCACCCTTGAACTCCTGGTCTTAAGTGATCCTCCCAGCTCAGCCTCCCAAATAGCTGGGACTACAGGTTTGTGCCATCATACTTGGCTATTCTTTAAATTTTTTGTAGAGACGGGATCTCACTATTTTGCCTCATGCTGATCTCAAACTCCTGGCCTCAAGTGATCCTCCCATCTCAGCCTCCCAAAGTGTTAGGATTACAGGTGTGAACCACTGCACCTGACCTCTACCTATTGTTAGTTATTTGTGTCTTTCCTCTTTATATCTACATCAGTTTTTACCATAGAGTTGTCTATATTACTGATCCTTTTCAAAGGAAGTTTTTTATTTGATTGATCAAATTCACTTTTGCTTTCTAATTCACAAATTTATACTTTTACCTTTGTTAGTTCCTTTGTTTTATTTTCTTGGAGTCATTTTGCATTTTTTCCTATTCCTTAAATTGAATATTCAACTTATCTCCTGTTTCCTTTTATAAAATAAACATTAACTCAAAAATAATACATGCTCGTCTTTTTTTCAAATAACTCAAGCAACATATAAAAGTTGAAGGGTTGGGAGGCCAAGGTAGGTGGATCACCTGAGGTCAGGAGTTCGAGACCAGCCTGGTCAATATGGCAAAACCCCGTCTCTACTAAAAATACAAAAAAAAATTAACCAGGCATAGTGGCAGTGGCCTATAATCCCAACTACTCTGGAGGCTGAGGCAAGAGAATCGCTTGAACCTGGGATGTGGAGGTTTCAGTGAGCTGAGATCACACCAGTGCACTCCACCCTGGGCGACAGAGCAGGACTCCATCTCAAAAAAAAAAAAAAAAAAGTTGAAGGAGACAAAGCAAAATATAAGATAATGATCATCTCAGAGTCTTGCAATAATGATTTATTGTCAATGTATGATGATCTTTATTCCAGATATCTCTCTAAACATTTAAATAGATAGGATATAGAGAGAAACTATTTTACAAAATATGGTCATGCTAATTATAAAATAAAACATAAATGAAATTTTAAGAAAAAAGGCTAAAGTAAAACTGTAGGAATTATTTATTCAAAATTTTCAGACTACTTTTTTTTTCAAAAAAGATGTTAGTTCCTCAAAGATCTCTTTTAAAAAACATGATTATGAAACAATGAAATTAAAGTCATTATTATTAACAAGTTCCAATTTTCAACTGTATGTTTTCACTTCCTGGTAAGAAAAATAAAGAAATTAGAACACTTATACTTTCTCCTACCTCTCCTCCTTCTCACTCATGATTTTGTACATTTTATCATTTTTTTTTTTACATTGTCAGCCTCTATAATATTAGTATTCTGCTTGGTAACCATACTTCTCACAATTTAGTCTTACTTATTTAAGTGAATATTTAAGTAGATTTGATGTCAAACACTAACCTTCTCATGGCTTTTGCATTTATGAATTTTAATATTTTAATCACTTCTTTGTTGCTTTGTTTGAATTGTTCCAAGTAAATTTTTTTCAAAAAGGATCATGGTTGTTGTCTGCCCTGAGCTTTTTCATGCTTGAGAAGGTCTGCCTGTTACATACATATATATGAACAGTTTAGCTAACTGTAACATTCTTGTTCATACTTTCATTCTGAGTTTGTAGATTTCCCTCTCTCTCTTCTGGAATGGGGTGTAGATATGGACAATTCTGAGAACAAGTTCCCACCTAGTATTGTGTATTAGCTATTTATTGCTGCAGAACAGTTTTTCCCAAAACTGGGCAGCTAAAAACAACACATACTTACTATCCCACAGTTTCTGTGGGTCAGAAATCTGGAAACAGGTTAGCTAGATGATTACGGCTTGGAGTCTCTGTGAGGTTGCGGCTAAGCTGACGAATGGGGCTGCAGCTACCTGAGGCTCACCCAGGGCTGATGGATTTTCTTCCAGGCCCACTCAAGTCCTTGTGACATGGGCTTTTTGAAGGTTTTGATGGCAAGTTACTCCCTTGATGAGTGACTGGAGAGAGAGAGAGAGAACTCATGCTAGAATCCACATCTTTTTATAACCTAACTTCAGAAATGACATACCGTCACTGTCACTTCCTGCTGTCTTCTGTCACCTACAGATGAGCCATTAAGTCCAGCCCACATTCAAGGGGAGAGGAAGTAAGCATCACCTCAGGCACAGAAGAACAGAAAGAAGTTGTGTGCATATCTTTAAGACAACCACATACCAGGAACTGCTTTTTTTTGGTATAGAAACTATCTTTTTAAAAATTTACCCTTGACATTTGGAAACTTCATCCAGCTATGTCTGATTTGCAAATTCAGGTATATCTTTAAAATAATTTTCTTTGATTACATCTTCACATATTGTTTTCATTTTACTTATTCTTTCTTCTTTTTCAGGAAAATGAATTATATGTTGGATTTCCTTTAGTTTCATATTTAATATATCTGTAATTCTCTCCATGGAAAAGGCAGGAGCACCTGGGGCAGGGCTTGCTTGGGGAGGGAGAAGCTTCTCAGTTGGTTGGGGGAGGGGGACGTATGTTCCCTGCGCCTTTGGAGGGGAGGGGGGCCTCAGCATTGGAGGCATGGGAGTTGGGGGGTGTACCCAGGATTTGAGGGGTAAACTCCAGGAGGCTGAAGATGGACCCCAGGAACTGACGGATGGACCCCAGGAGATTGGGGGTGGACCCCCAGGGCCTGAGGTTACATCCCTGGGTCTGGTGGGTGCATTCCCAGGGTGAATGTGAATGGCAGGGGCTGCTGGGTGCACCCCTGGGGCCTGGGGGTGAACCCCCACTGATAGGGGAGGATGGACCCCTGGGGCTGGTGGGTGAACCCCATGAGCTGGTGGGTGGACTCCGGGGGCTGATGGGTGAACCCCGGGGGCTGGAGGATGGACCCCAGATGTGGGATTGCACCACTGGGGCTGGGGGGCGGACCCCTGGAGCTGGTGGGGGCAGCTGAGGTGGTCCCAGGGGCCCTGAGGGTGCAGGCCCTGTGGGGGACATGGGTGGCAGAGGCAGACCTCCTGGAAGGGGCAGTGGCAAAGACTCAGACAGCGGCGGCCAAGGGGGCAGATCGTTCATCAGCAGGGGTGGAGGTCGCTTCACCCCAGGGGTCCAGTGGAGAGGCTGGGGCTTCTCCATCTTAAAGTGGAACTGGAGGAAGAACTGCTTGGTCTCCTGGTTCCAGTGTGTCCAGAATGTGCCTTCCACCTTGTTGATCTCCCTGCTCGGCACCTTGAAGGTGATGGTCTCGTAGGGCTCGGCAGCCATCAGCAAGTCATGCCAGCACTGGTCCAGGGGCTTGATCCTCTGTTCGTATGCAGACATGAAGCAGTGGCACAGCATGATGCCACCTCCTTAGCCTCCTTGGCTGCTCGCCAGGCCAGGTTGGTCTGGTGCTTCTTCCCCTGGGTATGTGCCAGATAGCTCCCCTTCTTGTTGAGAAGCATCAGGCAGCACTTGCATTCTTAGGGGCCCAGGTGGTTTTTCATTAAGTATGGGTCCTTATTGATGTCGATGGTCTCCAGGGCCAGCTGCCAGAGGTGTTCCCTGCGGTCATGATTGCTCTCAGAGGAGGCCATGCCCCTGCTCCTGGTCTTGCCCCCAGTGCGATGCTGGAAGTCCATGGTGACAGCCTTGGGCTTTAGCAGACTGGGAGACACCAGAGCCTGAGGCCGCGCTATGGCCTCCTCGATCACTGCCACGACTTTGTTTGGCGCGCCTGTAGTAATTTGTTATAGCAGACTGGACTAAGCCTGTCCTCAATACCTTTCACCAAATCTGTTATCTCCTTGGCCCCAGGCAGGCATCTAACCTTAGTTCTCAAAATTCAAGAGGTTAACAGTCATCAAGCTTGTATATTATGAGCCTTTGCATGCTGGAGCTCAGTTGTCATTGCTTCTTCTCCCGTCCTCACCCTCTGTAGTCTCCTCTGCCAGAGGCTGGATCATTGAGAGTGAGACCATATTTCCCATTCAGCTTCTCCCACTTCCTGGGTATTCCTTGTTTTTCTCTGCATCCTGCTCTTGCCCTTAGAGCTGGTTGATCCATCACAGAACCACTGGATGGGCCTTTCAGAACCATGACACAGTTCTTAGGAAAATCTGTGTTCTAATTAAGATAAAAAGAAGCACAAGCTCTAAGACCAGACACCCTGGCTTCGAAATCCAGCTCCACTACTCACTAGTTGGTTGTCTTAGCCAATGTTTGTATAAGACTAATACCTTGTTAAACTCCTACCTTAAAGTTTTGGTATGAATTTTAAATGAGCTAATTCACATAAACTGCTTAGGACAGCATCTGGCCTATGGTAAGCACTCAAGTATTTGGATAATATCTCATTATTTATTCCTCTTAACAGCCCTATAAAGTGGAGATTAATGTCTCCATCTCACAGATGAGGAAAGCAAGGATGAGGAACAGAATGTGATTTGTCCAAAGTCACAAAAATGGTAAGGAGGATAACTGAGACTTAAATCCTGGCTCATTTACCTCTGGTGATAGTACTTTTTCCAGAATGAACACTGTACAATATTGTATTGGTTTTGGTGGATTTTGAGGGAAGGAAGAAAATAGAATTGACTTTACTTCATCATCTTTAACTACAAGTTCTTTTTTCTTTTTGTGCCCATGATAAATACATCTTAAAGCTATGAATTTTCCTCTAAACACGGATTTGGCTCCCCATAGCAGTTGTGATGGTTGGCTATCATTGTCATTTATTTCTAAATAGTTTTCAATTTTTAATCAAAAATTGAAAATCAGTTTTTAAAAATTAGATTGGTTTTAATTTTCTCTTTAATGCAACAGTTATTTAGGAGGTATGTTTAAATATTTTAAAGGGATAGTTTTTTTTGTCACTGTTGATGCTACACTTTATTGGGAATTTTCAAATTTATTATCGTATAGACCAAAAACATGGATTCTCTGATTTCTATTTATAAATTATTAAGATCTTCTTCACAGTTTAACAGCAATTATCATTTTCTGCCAATGCTTCTTAACTGTTTGAAAAGAATGTGCATTTTCAACATGTTGCATACAAAGTAGAAGCTTGAAATTGTGTCATTTACATTGCAGAGCCCGTACTTATTTCTTGTTTCCTTTATATGTCAATTTCTAAGAGGGGTGTGTTAAAAATCTACCACTATGGTTACAGATTTGTTAATTGTTCAATCTATTTACTCATATATGTTTTGGACAATGTGGTTGGCTTCCTCAGAATTTGTTCCACCTCTTCTATATTACATCATTTCCAAGTGTTTGGGATATTATTGAGTCTTTTCACACCACAATGAGCTATCATAATCTTGGATAATTGAAGAATTTCTCCCCTTTATTCCAATTTATTTCAAAATTTTGTACATAAGCCAAATCTAAGTCAACCAGTCCCTCTCATCCCCTTGGCTGGCCACATTGATTAGTTCAGCCATGGTCATATGACCTAATTTTGTCCATGAAGATTTAGCCCAGGAATTGTTTTTTATTGATTGAAATGAGAGATATCTCTCAGACTACATGCTAATAGGGAAATGTTTGACTCCAGTTGCTTCATCAGCCATCCTCTGATCATGAGGAGAGACTGCAGAAGATGAAATTAATGCCCTGCCTGAAAGCAAGCATGAGAAAAATAAGGAAACCGGGTCTCTGGGAATGTCATTCAGCCACTGGATCAGACTCACCTGACAGCTGCTCTATCTTTGGACTTTTGTGGTCCATTGAATTCCCTTAATTATGTAAGCCAGCTTGAGTTGCATTTTTCTGTTACTTGCAACCAAAGCATCTTAACAAATAAATATATTTCAAGGTTCTAATATTAGGTGAAGAAAAATTCATGACTCACAATGTCTTAATGAATTATATTTTTTCATAAAATATTATTCTTTGTCCTAGTTAATTAACACTTTAGTCCTTAAATTTTATTTTTTTCTAAATACTACCATGGCCAAATCTACTTTCTTTTGTTGGTATTTGCATACCTATCTTTTTCTATGCTTCTCAATGTAAATTTGTCTTTTTCTTCTATATATATCTCTTAGGATAGGATATGGCCTAGTTAGTCACCTTTTATGTCTTAGAAGTTCTTGATTAATTGAAGACAGGTACAAGAAATCAGATGATAAAGCCAAGAACATATT
Organism: Homo sapiens; assembly: GCF_000001405.40. Lineage (NCBI taxonomy): Eukaryota > Metazoa > Chordata > Mammalia > Primates > Hominidae > Homo > Homo sapiens. The sequence goes on from NC_000003.12 coordinate 126,675,735, forward strand.
GCAACAGAAGCAGATTCATGGTTGCCTTGGGCTGGCGGTGTTGGAGGGGTGAGAAAATAGGGAGGGGGAGAATGGGAAGTGATGGCAAGGGGTTATAGAGTTCATCATTTTGAGTAATATAAATGTTCTAAAATTGATTGTGGTGATTGATGCACCTTTCTGCGAATATGCTAAAAGCCATTGAGTTGTACACTTTCAATGGGTGAATTGTATGGTATGTGAATTGTATCTTGAAGCTGTGAAAAAAGAAGATATTGAATACATAAAACAAGAATAGGATGCTATGGAGAAGAAGCAATTACAAAGCCAGAAAATAACTCTTGTAAATTTGAAGTATTATTGTCAAAATGTGTGTGTGTATATGTGTGTGTGTGTGTGTGTGTGTGTGTATGTATATACATATTTAAGCATCTTATGTTGCATTTTTCTGTTACTTGTAATATTATAGTAATATTTGAAAAAAATACATATACACATTTATTTGTATACACACATGTGCATATATATCTATCTCTATATGTATAATAAAATTTCCCACAGTATGGGACAATTAGGTAAAAAGGTTTTAAAAAATGAGAGAAAATATAAGAAACCAAGAAAATCAATCCATGAGGTTGAAATGCCTAATAGACTCAAAAATAGAGGACAGAGAGAAAGGGGCATAAATAGTAAAATAATAATATAATAATAGAAGACAATTTCCCAGAACTGAAGCACCTGGGTCTTCAGTTTGAAGGGAACTCAAATGCCCAGCATAATGAATAAAAAAAGGCCCATGGGACATCAGCACAAAATTCCAGAATATCAAGAATAGTGGAAATATCCTACAAGCTTCCAAAATAGGTGGATGCAGGGAAGGGACATTTTGGCATCAGCTGCCTCATCAGGTACTCAGGCTGCCAGAAGAAAGTGAGGACTGTCTCCAAATTTCTGGGGGAAAGGAATTTTGAACCTATACATCTAGGACAAGCCAATGTTTAAAGGCAAATAGATCTTTTCAGATCTGAAAGGACTCAAGGTTGACCTTGCACACATTTTGAGAAATTATTTGGGGTTTCTCTCCACCAAAAAGGGGATGCACCTTGAGGAAGGGCTCCAAGAAGAAAGTGAGTCCATCCCAGAAGGATAAGGAGTAGCAGTCCTTGGGTGACAGCCAAATAGCAGTTAGAGAGTGACTGATCCAAAGAGAAGGAGCGAATTGTCCAGGAACAAACCAGAGACTATAGAGCAGCCTCTCCTCCTTGGTGGGGGGAGTTTGCCCAGCAGAGCCTATCCTCAGCTTATTTCCAGGGTCTGCAAGGGTGACTTTCCAGCAGGCTGCCTTCCCAACACCCAGCCCCCAAGGGCAGATGGTGGAGAAATAACCCACAGACATGTAACTACCCAGATGGATGACCTTGATCAGGTCCAGGAACAGAAGAATGAAGGAAGAAGCAGAAGAAAGGAGGTGAGCAGGGGTACCAGTTAGCTGTTGCTGTGTGACAAAACACCCCAAGGCTCAGTAGGTTCAAATAACAACCGTGTAGTACTGCTCATGAGTCTGTGGGCTGGCAGGATGCTTCTGATCATCTGAGCCGGACTCAGCAGGGCTCACTTGGGTATCAGCTACACATCAGCATCTGGGATGGCTCCGCTGCTGCTGAGTGGTATCTTTCTGAGTGGCTAGCAGGCTAGCCCAGAGATCTGAAAGGAAGAGGAAGCATGCAATGGCTGTTACAGCCTAGCCTCAGAACCTGAATCCCCTTACTTCTGCCACATTCTGTGCACCAAAGTGAGTCACAGGCCAGCTCAGATCCAAGGGCTGAGAAATGCACTCTGCATCTTCTCAGGAGTTACTGCACAGTCACCGGGCTGAGGACACATATGCAAGGAGGGCTGCAAAACCATGGCCACTGTTGTAAACAACCTACCATGGGGACGGAAAATAAGGATTTTTTAAAGGTAGCAAAAAGTTACTTCTCTTACCACGTGGGATCTCTTTTCTTTTCTTTCCTTTATTTTTGTTCAAGACAGAGTCTCACTCTGTTGTCCAGCCTGGAGTGCAGTGATGCAATCACAGCTCGTTGGTGCCTCAAACTCCTGGGCTCAAGCAATCTTCCCACCTCAGCCTTCCAAGTAGCTAGAACTACAGGTACATGCTACTGCAACTGTCTGATTCTTTTTTTGTAGAGACAGGGTCTCACTATGTTGCCTAGACTGGTCTAGAACCCCTGGCCTTAAGCCATCCTTCTGTCTCAGCCTCCCAAAGCACTAGGATTATAAGCATGAGCCACTGCACCCAGCCAGATCTTTTTTTCCTCTGTGACCCGGGCAGAAATGGACCATTTTCCAGATGAGAAATCTAGACCTTCTGTGTGGTGCAGACATTGCCGTGTTCATTTCCCTATATTCCACATATAACGAAGTCTCTGGGTGGTCCCAGGCTGGAATCCAGTACATCGCTGGAGCAGAGCATTGGACGGGAAACTCTCCCACTGTGGCACGTGGTGGCAGCCGAGGTCTCCAACTGAGGCTGTCAAGGGAAGGAAGAGCTAGCTCCCCACCCGCGCCCGCTTCTTTGCTGAAGTTGATCTTTCCAGAAACCAAGCATGGAGGTTCTGAGGGTAATGGAAGTGCCTGCTCAGGCGGAAACTTAGAATTATGCCAGCTGCTCCCTTGGCTGCAAATGGAGACCTTAAGTCACCTTGGAACAGACTCGCCTTATTATCTCTGGAATCTCCTTAAATTGTATAAATGCAAGGCAGGCCGTCACTGCTTTTTTTGAGAAAGGGTGCAGATTGACCCTCGCTTTCTCTGACTTGGAAATGTCTGCCCTTCCAAAGAATCCTTAATACACAACGTCAGGGAGAAGGGGGTGGCAAATTCACCCAACGGCCAAGAGCCTGCCAGAAAAAAGGGATTTGGGACTCTGTTCCCTTCTTTTATTGGAGCCAGAGGCTCTCAGAGAGGCCCCCGGCGGGAAGGGTGGCCAGGCCCCAGAGTGTACCTCTCTGCAAGAGAAGGACAGAGTCTGGCTGGGGGTGGCCTGAGCAGCCGTGCAGCCTCGGGTTCTTAAACAGGGTGTGGCAGAGGCTCAGGCCCTGTGAGCAGCCAGGCATTCAAAGAGCTGTCGGCTTAGAGCCTCCCGGAAACACCTGCCTCTGGGGTTCTTGAACAACTTGCGCGGCCGGGAAGCTTGTACGCCCAAGATGCAGGATGCCTGTTAATCGGAGCAAGCGGGAGGACGAAAGGAAACCATGTGGCAGGAGATGGGCCCCTCTGTGTGCGCAGCTGGACTCGGCCCTTTGCTCGGATCCTAGCACTCATGACAGCTGGCCTCACGAAGAGGTCCTCTGGTTGGCCTCTGCCTCTCCGATTCCCGCACCCCTTAGAGCTAAGGCCTCTGGCACTCCTCTCTACGACCCCACGGTCCTTTCTCTGCACCACCCCACGGTCCTTTCTCTGCACCGCCCCCACCCCATCCCTGGGCACAGGGCCTGGCATCAGTAGAGGATTCTTGCGCGAATTCGGTGCACGCCGAAACATTCTACAGAACCCATTTCCACTTTCAGCTGCGTGGGCCCGGCAGGAACGCGCTCTTCCTCGCGGGCCAGGCAGGCAGCCCCTTGGGCTGGACGCAGGTACCTCCCCACAGGGCTTCTCAGAGCGCCAGATCGCAGCATGCACTTCTGAAGGCGGCCGCGAGGTGGCACTGCGGCTTCTTGGGAAACAGACAATGCGAGGTCTCCTTTCAGAGGATCTGGCCTGGGCTGCCCACTGACCCGCGCAGGCGACGGGGACGGGGCACGTGCCTCCCAGGCACTGTCAGTCGGCCACCCACAGGGACCCAGCACCTCCAGGGCCGGCCAGTCCTGCCCAGAGTGGTTCCCAGGGGAGCTGTGTTCCAGCTCGGTGCCTCCACCTCCAGGTCTTGATTTCCTCTTAAAATAAGGAGGATGACACAGATTACAAGGCAATGAATAAGAACACACTCTATGAACTATAAAGCCGGGCAGAAATGCCTGCTGTGGATGCAGGGATGAAGAGGGACAGGAGAACCCAACGCTGCTCTTAAGGAATGTCCTGGGGGCACGACTAAAACTCACCATGGGCCGAAGGCAGGGTGAGGCTTCGGAAGTGTGAGAGGCTCCGAAGGCATCCTCCTAAAAGGGAACCATAGAAACTAACAAAGCTAAGCGCTTTGCAGCTGGAACTCATTGAAGCCTCACATCTGCCTCTGATTCTCTGTAGATTCTCTACCTTAATTATCCCTATTTTACAGAAACTAAGGCCCAGGGAAGCTGTGACCTGGGGGAGCCCTCATGTTAGTGAGTGGGCAGGAGGGATGCAGAACTGGAAGTGGGGAGAGGCACTGGAGGGAGATGGGATGGAGTGAGAGAGGGCAGGAAGGTGAGAAGGATGCCTGCAGGAGGGAAGCAGGGGCAGCATGGGGCCCTCGGCAGCCCACAGCTTCTTTCCTTCTCCTCCCAGGAACTCCATCAAGGTCCCATAAAACTGGGGCCGGCACATTGGCCTCTCAGATTTGGTTACTATTCACTTGCAGAAACCACGTAACCTATAAGAATGCATTTTATTCCTCCACGGCAAAGGTATTGTCTGCTGGTAAAAGCTGCAGAGTAGTAGTTATTGGAGGTGCAACCGGTTTCTGCAAGTTCTGATATCTGGAGACAGATCAGAAACTAGGAGTCACTGGGAGCTGAGTAACTTGATTATTCCACTTCATGTGGTTTCAATTATACATTTATTTATCTCACAGCATTATTTGTGCTTCTCATCCTTCAAACGTGATGTGTGGAGCAGCTGAGAATTTTCCGAGAGGAGATCTGAGTGTGCTTCTTCCTGCCTGTCTTCCTTCCTTTTTAATGAATACAATAATTAGTGGCTAAATAAAATTCGCCCACAGGATAGGTGCATACAACTGCTTCATGAATTGGCAGATGACAGTAACGGGCAGCAAGCCTGGAAAACCTATCACACAGGCTCAGAGCACCTCTTTTGTCAACTTATGACGAAGAACATCTATAGGCTCAGGAAAGAAAATTCAGCAGCCAGGGAGTGTGGATGAATTTCTTAGGTCTGGCAGACAAGATGTTTATGTCACACACAGGACTGAAATTCTAAGCCGCAAAGATATCAAGCCTGGGCTTGGAGGAAGATCTGGAGTTTTCTTCATTTACAAAGTCTGTGAATCCTGGATTATCCCACACTTATCCAAGACACAGGGAAGCAAAAGACACAAGGCTTTTCTTATGAAAAGCAGAACAAGGAAGACTTGGGAGTCCAACAAGTGAGGTTCCAAGACCCAGCCTGCAGGAGTACGGCTAGGGCTGGAAGTTGTTGCCCATCCCACCAAGACTTGTAGGCCAACCCAGTGTATCCACACTCAGTCTCTCAATGGCAACCACTGATCTTTTTTTCTGTCCCCATAGTTTTGCCTTTCCCAGAATGTCATAGAGTTGAAATCATCCAGCCATGCTCTGGGATAATTCTTCTGTTATAATCTTCAGATTGTCAATTTCATTTTCAGCTATATTCAGTCAATTTATCAGCACATCTATTGAGATTGTTTTTCCTAATTTGGCAATCAAGCATTTAATACCTTTTTTTAAAAAACAATAGAGACAGTGGTTCGCTATGTTGCCATCTCTTCTGATACTCTTCCTCAGCCCCCTTGGGCCCCTGGTCCTCCAGGGACCACTTATGCTGCAGCATCTCTGCAGGTCACCCTCTCTCTCAGCAAACGCTGACCTTTCCTTTTGCATTCCAGGCTCTGACATGCATAGCATGTGGATTTTAATTTCAGGAATCCATAGCTAAGTTTTTTTTTGGAGGGGACACTGGCCAGACACAGATGCAAACAGGCACAAAATTGTGCCAGCCCCATGGTGGTTTGTGGGGGATTTGGGGACTTTGGGGGACCCAGTCTTCTAGCTCTATTTGCAATGCAAACACAAGGTTTCTACCTAAAGGGTATTGTTTAGTGGGGCTGACAGAGGTTACAGGAGGGATGGTAAAAGTCCCCCAGCCGCCAAGTGGGGTGGTCCCTGTTCTGATGCAGGATTCTGATAGTGACCTTGAATACAGAGGAGGTGACCCTCTCCTTGCTCCTCACCTTGGTCAGCCACACCAACAACTGCTCAAAGTGCATAGGGTATACAGAGGTCTTTCCTCAACAATCTGCGCCATTTGGCCAAGTAGGCAACTAGAATGACCACTGAAAACTCAGAGGAAGAGTGCCAATTTATAGCTCTCATTATAGTGTAATGTTATTTCCTTAAAAGTTTGTGCACACATTTAATGAACTCATAAAACTTAAACTATCAGAGTCTTGTGGTGAGGAGGCAGGGTACTGTTCTTGTAACTTCACATTCTAGCAGCTCTGGGTTGAAGCCACCCCTGCAGGGCTGGGAGCTGGGGGCAGGTGTGTGAGTGACTCCCCCAGGGGGCTCTTCCCAGGCCAGGTGCCCAGACAGTTTCCCCATCTGGGCTCAGGACCTGGGCTAGCAGGGTGCCAAGCCTCCCCAAGGAGGAGACTCTTCTCCCTCCCCATGCCCATACCCCTTCCTGGGCCTCAGGCCCTGATTGCTATGGTCAGGCCGGCCACTAACCAGGCTGCCTCCATTCCAGCTCCACGTCCCACACCCAAGGGCCCAGCTGGCAATGCTCCATGAGGCATGACCAGGCCATGCGGGGTCCTGGAGAAATCTTCATCTTCTGAGCCATGTGGACCTGGTTTCAAATCTTGACTCTGCCTCCTTCTAGCTGCATGACCTCAGGCAAGTCACATGCCCTGTCTGAGCCTCAGTTTCCTCATGTGTAAGATGGAAATATCCAACGTGCCAGGTTCCTTGGAATGCTGTATATCATAATAATAACCATTGATACTTGAGTGTTTCTGTGGCTGGCCGGGTCCAGGCTCATTCTGCACGCTTGCAGTAAATCAATCACTGTGACAAATTTTGCAAAAGAGAAGAGAGTTATTTCCCTCAAGGGCGCCAAGTGAGGAGGTGGGAGAACAGCCCTCAAATCCTCCTGCTGGAAGATAAGGCTTAGGGGTATTTACAGGTTAGGGGAGCGGGGTTCTCTAAGGCTTGGGGGAAAAGGTGATTGGCAGTGGGGAAATGAAGCAACACATTCATTCTGCACAAGTGCAGTCGGGGTTCATGGTATTTCATAGGACATGTGTACAGAAAACAGCAGTGGTAGCATGACCTGAGGGGGTAGGTTTTGGCTCTCCGATGTCAAAAAGCCACCTCTCAGGCACTTGTGCAGGCCCAGTTGAAGGGTCAGTGGTCTCAACTGGTTTGAACTGGACAGGAGCTGCCCCAAGTTCCTGAAAAACAATGGAAGTGACTATGACCTTGGTGACCGATGAATGTTATCTATAAAGTAGCCAGTGAAGGTTAAGTTTCAGCATTCAGTGGTGAGGCCTTCGGCTACCACAGACTTTAGCTTCATGGAAAAATGAAAAAAAAAATAACAAAAAGTGAGTGAGTGGCCAAAAGCAAGCGGGCCAGGCAGCCCCGATCAAATTAACCCCTTGGTTTCATTTCCTCTTTGCCAGGTATTATTCTAAATCCATTACATGTATTAATTCATACAATCCCATGTCAATCCTATAAGCAGGTACCATTATTATCCCGATTTTACAGATGGTGAAACTGAGGAATGCAGAGATTAAAATATATATATTATATATATGTTACATATGTGTGTATGTATATATATATGTATGTATGTATGTATCTCACAAGCTTTCCTTGATGCCCTCTCTGCTCTAAGCAGGACCAATGGCTCGTCCGGCCTCAGCCCCTGCCGTTCCCAGCCCCTGTGAGTTCTGACAGTGCTCTGGGCTGCTCCAGAGCTCAGGCTGTGAGCTCTTGCCTGGCTGTGGTTGCCCACGCCTGGACTGGCTCTGAGCATGCTGCAGAGCCCCAGGGCTCCAAGCAGACAGCTCCTGGGAGCAGGCACAAGCCTTTGTTTGAGACAAATCAGGAAGCCCAGCCTCCACCTGAGTCTGGGCTGCCTTTCAGATCACAGCTCTGCGTGCAGGTGTGTGTGTGTGTGCAGGTGTCTGGGTGTGTGTGTGTGTGCAGGTGTCTGGGTGTGTGTGTGCGTGTGTGTAGGAAGACTAGTGAGAGGAAATGGGATGCAGGCTGAACAAGCTCTGCTCTGAGCAACCTCAGCCCCCCTCGCTGAGAGTTCTGTGGCCCATTTGGCTTTGCTGCGCCAAATGTTCTCTTTTTACCCTGCTATCCTTGGGCATCCATGTCCTCTGCCTCTCCCACTCCAGCCAGCTCCGCTCAGGAGAGCTGTGATAAGGGACCACCTTCCTGTGGCACAGCCCCAGGGGAAGCTGCTGGGGCTGTTTGGCCGGCTGAGCAGACATCCACTTGGCTGAATGGTTAAAACCAGGGCTAAAGCTGAAGCTTAAAACTCTGAAAAGCAAAAAAAAAAAAAAAAAAAAAAAAAAAAAAAAAAAAAAAGGGAAACTGGGGCCAAGGAGGCTGATCCTGACTTTCTGCTTGAGCCACTTATGCTTTTCAGCTGATTCATTCCATCTGGAGGCTTTGTTCACACGAGGAATTTCCTGGATGGAGGGAGAGCAGGTGGGAACAGAGCATGGGGACTGGGAACAATGGACCAAGTAGCTTCGTTGTCTGGACTCACTCTCTCCCTTTCTGCAATTCACACTCTCACACACACACACACGCACATGCTTTATTCACATTGATGCACTGCACACACATACGCCCTGACACAGATGCAGCATACTCACACTGCACACGCAGCAACCCTGTCACAGCCTGGTCCTGTCAGGAAACAGATGGCTGCTCAAATGGGGTACTTGGAGGGGCTTGGATAAAGGTGTGGGCAGGGCTGGTTTTGTGAGGCAGTGCGTCCAGCCCAGGGAACAAGTTGCCATGGCAGTGCGTCCAGCCCAGGGAACAAGTTGCCATGGTCTAAAGCAGACAGCCCTTCTGTGCCCTCTGCCAGGGCCTGGTCTATGGGTGTGTGTGTGACCCACAACTGCCCAATGCCACTCCAGAAGATTGTTGGTGGCTTCCAGAAAACATTTCCTTTGTTCTGAGAGAGAGAGAGAGCTACATGAAGGCAGAGCCCTTTTTGCACAGAAGAGGGCACAAGCCATAAGTCTCTATGGCCTTCATGTGGTGTTAAGTGTCAGGTGCCCAGAAGGCAAAAGTGGTGGAGGCTTGGCACCTTTGACCTAGATTTCAGAGGATGCACCAGAAAGCCTGAGTGCCCAGGCAGATGCCTGTCACAGGGGTGGAGCCCCCACAGAGAGACTCTGTTTAGGCAGTGCCCAGTGGAAATGTGGGGTTGGAACCCCTGCACAGAGTCTCTACGGGGCACTGCCTGGTGGAGCTGTGGGAGCAGGGCCACCATCCTCCAGAGAGCAGAATGGTAGAGCCACCGGGAGAATGCAACCCCAGCCTGGAAAAGCCACAGGCATTCAACTCCCCACCCCTGTGGCTTTGCTGGGCATAGCTCACATGGCTGCCCAAGGCCTTAGGAGCCCACCCTTCACACCAGTATGCCCAGAATGTGAGACATGGAGGCAAGGGAGATCATTCTGGAGCTTTAAGACTGAATGTCTGCCCTGCTGAGTTTCAGACTTGTGTGGGGCCTGTTACCCCTCTCTTTTGGCCAATTTCTCCGTTTTGGAATTGAGAATGTTTACCCAATGCCTGTATCGCCATTGTATCTTGGAAGCAAATAACTTGTTTTTGATTTTACAGGCTCACAGCTGTAAGGAACTTGCCTTGAGTCTAAAATGAGACTTTGGATCTCGGACTTTTGAGTTGGTGCTGGAACAAGTTAAGACTTTTGGGAACTGTTAAGAAGAGATTATTGTATTTGGCAATGTGAGAAGGACATGAGGTTTGGGGGACCAGGGAAGGAATGTTATAGTTGGATGTTTGGCCCTCTAAATCTTATGTTGAAATCTGATTCCAAATGTTTGATGTGGGGCTTAATGGGAGGCATTTGGGTCATGGGGGTGGATTCCTCATGAATAATGTCCTCCCTGGGGAAGGGTGCATGAATTCTCACTCTACTAGTTCCTGAGAGTTCCCTTGAGAGCCGGTTGTTAAAAAGAGCCTCCCCCACTCTTTCTTGCTTCCTTTCTCACCTTGTGGTCTCTGCACATGCTAGCTCCCCTTCACCTTCCTTTAAAAGTGGAAGCAGGCTGGGCGCAGTGGCTCATGTCTGTAATCCCAGCACTTTGGGAAACCGAGGTGGGCAGATGACAAATTCAAGAGATCGAGACCATCCTGGCTAACATGGTGAAATCCCGTCTCTACTAAAAAATACCAAAAAAAAAAAAAAATAGCTGGGCGTGGTGGCTCATGCCCATAGTCCCAGCTACTTGGGAGGCTGAGGCAGGAGAATGGCTTGAACTTGGGAGGCAGAGGTTGAAGTGAGCCGAGATCACACTACTGCACTCCAACCTGGCGACAGAATAAGACTCCGTCTCAAAAAATAAAAATAAATAAATAAATAAATAAATAAATAAATAAATAAATAAAAGTGGAACCAGCCCGAGCCCTCACCAGGAGCAGATACTGGTGCCATGATTCTTGTACAGCCTGTAGAACCATGAGCCAAATATCAATTCTTTTCTTTATCAATTACCCAGCCTTGGGTATTCCCTTATAGCAACACAAATGGACTAAGACAGGCCACATCATCAACTGTCTCCAGGGCTGCTCCAAAGTCCATTTGCTCCCCAAAGCACAGATTGGACCAGGTCCCTCCTCTGCTCCAAAAGTCAAGACTTCCCCACTGCCTGCCTTAGGGGCCAAGCTTTGTACCTGGTTTTCAAGGCCACCATCCTCATGATCCAACCACACTTTCCATAATCCCTGCTACATCCCATGCTCCTAGCACTCTGGGCCCTGTCATATCCTCCCCCATGTCCCCCCTCTCCTTTACCCCGTTAGCCCACTGTTCCCTAACAAAGGGGTCCTTGACAATGGTCCAGGGATAATTTGGGGAAGTCCATTTAGGCCTAATCCAACTCAAAAGCACTGATGACTCAGGCAAACCTTTTACTGAACATTACACAGAGATTTTGAAAGAGGGGATTGTATTAGTCCTTTGTGTTGCTATAAAGGAATACCTGAAACTGGGTAATTTATAAAGAAAAGAGGCTTATTTGGCTTATGGTTATGCAGTCTGTACAGGAAGAATGGCACCAGTATCTTCTTCTGGGGAGGCCTCAGGAAGCTTCCACTCATGGCAGAGGCAAAGGGGAGCAGGTGTCACATAGCAAGAGAGGAAGTAGGAGAGAGAGGAGAGGTGCCCAACTCTTTTGAACAACCAGCTCTTGCATGAACCAATAGAGTAAGAACTTATTACCACAGAGAGGGTACCAAGCCTTTCATGAGGGATCTGCCCCCATGACCACCCACTAGGCCCCACCTCAACACTGGGAGTCACGTTTCTTTGTCTTTTTTTTATTTCTTTTTAAATTTTTAATTTCCATAGGTTATTGGGGAACAGGTGGTGTTTGGTTACATAAGTTTTTTAGTGGTGATTCATGAGGTTTTGGCACACCCATCACCCGAGCAGTATACCTGCACACAATTTGTAGTCTTTTATCCCTCACTCCCTTTCCATCTTTTCCCCCTGAGTCCCCGAAGTCCATTGTGCCATTCTTATGCCTTTGCATCCTCATAGTTTAGCTCCCACTTATGAGTGAGAACATACGATGTTTGGTTTTCCATTCCTGAGTTACTTCACTTAGAATAATAGTCTCCAGTCTCATCCAGGTCTCTGTGAATGCCATCAATTCATTCCTTTTAATGGCTGAGTAGTATTCCATCATATATATATTCATATATATATATATATATATATATATATATATATATATATATATCTCACAATTTCTTTATCCACTCGTTGATTGATGGGCATTTGGGTTGGTTGCACATTTTTGCAATTGTGAATTGTGCTGCAATAGACATGCATATGCAATTATCTTTTTCGTATAATGACTTCTTTTCCTCTGGCTAGATACCCAGTAGTGGGATTGCTGGATCAATAGTAGTTCTACTTTTAGTTCTTTAAGGAATCTCCATGCTGTTTTCCATAGTAGCTGTACTAGTTTACATTCCCACCAGCAGTGTAGAAGTGTTTTCTGTTCACTGAAGCCACATCAACATCTATTATTTTTTGATTTTTTGATTATGGTCATTCTTGCAGGCATAAGGTGGTATCACATTGTGGTTTTGATTTGCATTTCCCTGATTATCAGTGATGTGGAGCATTTTTTCATATGTTTCTTGGCCATTTATGTATCTTCTTTTGAGAATTGTCTATTCATGTCCTTAGCCCACTTTTTGATGGTTTTTTTTTCTTGCTAATTTGTTTGAGTTTGTTGCAGATTCTGGATATTAGTCCTTTGTCAGATATATAGATTGTGAAGATTTTCTCCCACTCTGTGGATTGTCTGTTTACTCTGCTGACTGATCTTATGCCATGCAAAAACTCTTTAGTTTAATTAAGTCCCAGCTATTTATCTTTGTTTTTATTGCACTTGCCTTTGGGTTCTTGGTCATGAAATCCTTGCCTAAGCCAATGTCTAGAAGGGTTTTTCCAATGTTATCTTGTAGAATTTTTATAGTCTCAGGTCTTATATTTAAGTCTTTGATCCATCTTGAATTGATTTTTGCATAAGGTGAGAGACAACGATCCAGTTTCATTCTTCTACATGTGGCTTGCCAATTATCCCAAAACCATTTGTTGAATAGGGTGTCCTTGCCCCACTTTATGTTTTCGTTTGCTTTGTTGAAGATCAGTTGGCTCTAAGTATTTGGGCTTATTTCTGGTTCTATTGGTTTATGTGCCTATTTTTATACCAATACCATGCCATTTTGGTGACTATGGCTTTATAGTACAGTTTGAAATCAGGTAATGTGATGCCTCCAGATTTGTTCCTTTTGCTTAGTCTTGCTTTGGCTATGCAGGCTCTTTTTTGGTTGCATATGAATTTTAGGATATTTTTTCTAGTCTGTGAAGAATGATGGTGGTATTTTGATGGGAATTGAGTTGAGTTTGTAGATTGTTTTTGGCAGTATGGGTATGCTATTTTCAATATTTCACAATATTGATTCTACCCATTCATGAGCATGGGGTGTGTTTCCGTTTGTTTGTGTTGTCTATGATTTATTTCAGCAGTGTTTTGTAGTTTTCCTTGTAGAGGTCTTTCACCTCCTGGGTTAAGTAGGTTACGTATATTCCTAAGTAATTTAATTTTTTTTTCTTTTTTTTGAGACGGAGTCTTACTCTGTCACCCAGGCTGGAATGCAGTGGCATGATCTCAGCTCACTGCAACCTTCACCTCCTGGGTTCAACTGATTCTCCTGCCTCAGCCTCCCAAGTAGCTGGGACTACAGGCATGTGCCACCACACCCGGCTAATTTTTTGTATTTTTAGTAGAGACGGAGTTTCACCATATTAGCCAGATGGTCTCAATCTCCTGACCTCGTGATCTGCCTGCCTTGGCCTCCCAAAGTGCTGGGATTACAGGCATGACCATTGCTCCCAGCCAGTATTTTAATTTTTTTGCAGCTATTGTAATAGGGGTTGAGTTCTCAATTTGATTCTCAACTTGGTCGCTGTTGGTGTATAGAAGAGCTACTGATTTGTGTACACTAATTTTGTATCTGGAAACTTTGCTGAATTCTTTTATGAGTCTTAGGAGCATTCTGGAGGAGTTTTTAGGGTTTTCTAGGTAAATGATCATATCATCAACAAACAGCAACAGCTTGACTTCCTCTTTACCAACTTGGATGCCCTTTATTTCTTTCTCTTGTCGATTGCTCTGGCTAGGAGTTCTAATGCTATGTTGAAGAGAAGTGGTAAAAGTGAGCATCCTTGTCTTGTTCCAGTTCTCAGAGGGAACGCTTTCAACTTTTTCCCATTCAGTATTATGTTGACTGTGGGTTTGTCATAGATGGCTTTTATTACCTTGAGATATGTCCCTTGTATGCTGATTTTGCTGGGAGTTTTAATCGTAAAGTGATGCTGGATTTTGTCAAATGTTTTTTCTGCATCTATTGAGATGATCATGTGATTTTTGTTTTTAATTCTGTTTATGTGGTGTATCACATTTATTGACTTGCATATGTTAAACCATCCCTGCATCCCTGGTATGAAACCCACTTGATCATGGTGGATTATATTTTTGATATGTTGTTGGATTCAGTTAGCTAGTATTTTGTTAAGGATTTTTGCATCTATGTTCCTCAGGGATATTGGTCTATAGTTTTCTTTTTTTGGTTATGTCTTTTCCTGGTTTTGGTATTAGGCTGATACTGGCTTCACAGAATGATTTAGGGAGGATTCCCTCTTTCTCTATCTTGTGGAATACTGTCAATAGGATTGATACCAATTCTTCTTTGAATATCTGGTAGAATTCAGCTGTGAATCCATCTGGTCCTGGACGTTTATTTGTTGGTAATTTTTTTTTTACAAGAGCTGCTAAAGGAGCTCTAAATCTTGAAACAAATCCTGGAAACACATCAGAACAGAACCTCTTTAAAGCATACATCTCACAGGACCTATAAAACAAAAATGCAACAAAAAAACAAGGTTTACAGGCAACAAATAGGAATGGTACCTCTCACATCTCAATACTAACGTTAAATGTAAATGGCCTAAATGCTCTACTTAAAAGATACAGAATTGCAGAATGGATAAGAATTCACCAACCATCTGCTGCCTTCAGGAGACTCACCTAACACATAAGAACTCACATAAGTTTAAGGTAAAGGGGTGGAAAAAGACATTCCATGCAAATGGACACCAAAAGCAAGCAGGGGTATCTATTCGTACATCAGACAAAGCAAACTTTAAAGCAACAGGAGTTTACAAAGACAAAGAAGGACATGATATAATGACAAAAGGCCTTGTCCAACAGGAAAATATCACAATCCTAAATATATATGCACCTAACACTGAAGCTCCCAAATTTATAAAACAATTACTAATAGACTTAAGAAATGAGATAGACAGCAACACAATAATGGTGGGAGACTTCAGTACTCCACTGACGATACTTGACAGGTCATCAAGACAGAAAGTCAACAAAGAAATAATGGATTTAAACTATGCTCTGGAACAAATGGGCTTAACAGATATTTACAGAACATTCTACCCAACAACTGCAGAATATACATTCTATTCATCAGCACATGGAAATTTCTCCAAGATAGACCATATGATAGGCCACAAAACAAGCCTCAATAAATTTAAGAAAATTGAAATTATATCGAGCACTCTCTCAGACCACAGTGGAATAAAACTGGAAATCAACTCCAAAAGGAAACTTCAAAACCATGAAAATACATGGAAATTGAATAACTTGCTCCTGAATGATCATTGGGTCAAAAATGAAATCAAGATGGAAATTTAAAAATTCTTCAAATTGAACAACAATAGTGACACAACCTCTGGGATATGGCAAAGGCAGTGCTAAGGGGAAAGTTCACAGCCCTAAACACCTACAACAAAAAGTCTGAAAGAACACAAATGGACAATCTAAGATCATATCTCAAGTAACTAGAGCAACAAGAACAAACCAAACCCAAACCCAGAAGAAGAAAGGAAATAACCAAAATCAGAGCAGAGCTAAATGAAATTGAAACAAAAAAAATACAAAAGATAAATGAAACAAAAATCTGGTTCTTTGAAAAGAAAATTAAAATTGATAGACCATTAGTACGATTAACCAAGAAAAGAAGAGAGAAAATTCAAATAACCTCACTAAGAAACAAAACAGGACATATTACAACTGACACCACAGAAATACAAAAGATCAGTCACGGCTACTATGAACACCTTTATGTGCATAAACTGGAAAACCTAGAGGAGATGGATAAATTCCTGGAAAGATACAACCCTCCTAGCTTAAATCAGGAAGAATTAGATACTCTGAACAGACCAATAACAAGCAGTGGGAGTGACATTTCAACACGAGATTTGGAGGAGACAAATATCCAAACTATATCAGTGTTGTATTACATATCGCAGAACAAAATCTATTAATCTGCCACCATGATATGGTAAAAATATATATTAGGTCTTTGTCCCCAGTTCCTGGAACAGAGTTCCTTAAACGCTTGGGATTTCCTAAGTGATAGGAACATCTTTTGTTATTCATAAGGAGCCCCTTTGGGACTCACTGGAGTATACCTTAATGAGGTGACTCAGAGTGGTGTCTCTAGACAGCTTCAGGATGGGGGCCGGTCACCAGAAAGACCAAACACATGATTAGAAGGTAAGAACTTTTATCTTATCCCCTGACTTTTATTCTATTCCAGGGAGGGGATAAAATGGGGCTGGAGATTGAGCTCAATAAAAACTCTTGAACGACAAGGTTCAGAGAGTCCCTGAGTTGGTGAACACATCCACATGCCATCCACCCGGACCCGGTAGGGACAGAGGCTCCTGCATTTGGACCCTTCCAGACCTCAAATTACATACTTCTTCATCTGGCTGTTCAATGGTGTCCTTGATAAGAAACCGTAACAGTGAGTAGAGCACTTTCCTGAGTTTTGTTGGTTGTTCCAGTGATTATCAAACCTGAGGGGGGTGGTGGGAATCACTGAACTGGTTGTCAGCCTTGGCACCCCATTTGTGGCCAGCATCTGAAGTGGGGGGCAGTCTTGTGTGATTGAGCCCTTAACCTGTGGGGCCTGCACTGACTCCAGGAGTTGGTATCAGAACTGGACTGATCTCTAGGATACCTATCTGATGTCAGAGAATTGGAGAACTTGGTGGTATGGGGGAAATGATATGTATTTGGTGTCAGAGATGATATCAGAAAACACCACTGCCACTTTTAACCAAAACCTCCTTTCCCAGATTTTCTCTCCCCACACAGTTTCTGTCTCTTCTCCTTCCTTCACTCTAAGCCCCACTCCTCCAATACACTGCTCTTCCTCTACTCACTCCTCACGCACACTTTAGAAAATCCATCCAGCTTGCAACCAATTCAACAGAAGCCTCAGTGGCTAGCCTGAACTGTCTCAAGAGGACAAACACCCCCAGATCCAGCTGTTCTTCTTCTTCAGGTCTGAGGGTGGTGGGAACAAGGGGCTCAAGTCAACCCCATCCTACAGCTGAGGCACCTGAGGTTCAGAAAGGAAAAGAATTGCAGAAAGCCAGGAGATGCTCTGCACAACCACTAGGACCTGCTCCTTCAGCCACTCCTCTCCAGTGGCCCTGGGAACCGACCTTCCAGGGAGCTCCTCCTGCCTACACGTGAGCATCCTCCCTTCCCATCAAGGCTCCATTTCTCACCAGCAGTTTGCAAACTTTAGCCTAGAGGGAGCCATTATTGTTAGGGAAGTAGGAGCCTAGGAGAGCCAGAGTAATGCCATTTTAAGTTCAGCTCCATCTTGACTAACAAGACACATTCCTTGCCAGTCATGACCCGTGGTCCGAAGATGCTTATGGTTGAGGAAACAGCCTAAAGATTCCCGTAAGGACACTCCTACAACAATGGAGAGTCTAGTTATCCCCATACCCGTAACCATGTATGCTTTCTAGTTAATAACACCTATGCTTTGATGGACGCACACACTGAAATGTCAAGGAGAGTTTTCTTTAAATCAACTTTGTCATGCTGTCTGCTCACCCTCATGTAGTCACAGTTTAGTTTAGTCTTTGTATAGACAAGACCCCTATCTAAGAAAAACATAAAACAAGACTGTGCGTTCCTCCGCTTGCTTTCTAAGGATGCCGTGCTCTGTAATGGAGTAGCTTTCAATGAACTTGCTTCCTTCACTGAACTTTGAGACTTGCCTTAAATTCCTTCCTGCACGAGATCCAAGAATCCTCTCTTGGGATCTGGATCAAGACCCCTTTTTCTGGTAACGTTATCGGTGCACAGTGAAATGAAAAATATAAGGAGAAGTGAAGAGCAGCACAAAGAATTTGCCTTCTAAGTTAAATGCATGCCAGCTTCGCTGAAAGACCTTTAGCACCCAGGAAACACCTCCCTAAGGCAGAAGATGCATGGACTATAGTTATTGTACAGCAAAAGACATGTATATGCCATCATCAAGACACAGCTGCTCACGAAATAAACTGTGGTTTAGCTTTTCTGTGCTCTTTCAGTGTGAGGAATGTCTTGGTTATTATCAACATATTTTTCTTACAGGGACCTTCTCAGAAAACAATAAGATATCAGTGAGTTGTTTTCATCAGTTGTGCGTGATGTTATTAATGCTTACGAGTTGGTTTCCTCTTTCTTTCTTCCTTCCTACCGAGGGAAGACAGCACCTCTCAGCCTTGCAGTTGGGTGGGGCCATGTGGCCAGCACTGGCCAGGGGAATGTAGAGGGAAATGCTGGGTCACCCAGGCTGGGAAAGCTGGCACTCAAAGCTGTAGTCTGGGAGGCTCACTCTACCCTGCTGAACTGCCCTTGGAAGCCACATGTTCCATGCAGCACAGTTCAAGCACAGCAGAGCCTCTGTTAGCCAGGATTGCCCAGCCCCCTCCATCCACATTTTGCCTGAGTGAGAAATAAAACATGATGGTGTCAAATCCCAAAAATATTTTATACCTTCCCCCCAGCACCCTTAAGAGCTAGGGCCATGCTCTGTTGTCCAGGCTGGAGCACAGTGGCGCAATCATAACTACTGAAGCCTTCTTCCACCTCAGCCTCTCGATAGCTGGGACTACAGGTGTGAAGCCACCATGCCTGGCTAATATTTTAATTTTTTAAATGTTATTTTAGATTCAGGAGGTACACGGGCAGATTTGTTAAAAGAGTATACTGCATGATGCTGAGGTTTGGGCTTCTCTTGATACCGTCACCCAGATAATGAACATGGTCCCTATAAGGAGTTTTCCAGTCCTTGTCCCTTTTTGGAGTCCCCAGTGTCTATTGTTCCCATCTTTATGTCCTTGTGTACCTGATGTTTAGCTCCCACTTATAAGTGAGAATATGTAATATTTGGTTTTCTCTTTCTGCATTAATTTGCTAAGGATAACAGCCTCCAGCTGCATCCATGTTGCTGCAAAGGGCATGATTTCATTCTTTTTTTATGGCTGTGTAGTATTCCATGGTGTTTATGTTCCACATTTTCTTTATCTAATCTGCTGTTGATGGGCACCTGGGTTGATTCCATGTATTTGCTACTGTGACTAATGCTGCGATAAACATACACATGCAAGTGTCTTTTTGGTAGAACAATTTATATTCCTTTCGGTATATACCCAATAATGGGAATGCTGGGTCAAATGGTATTTCTATTTTTAGTTCTTTGAGGAATCTCCAAACTGCTCTCCACAGGGGCTGAACTAATTTACATTTACACTTGCAGAGTGTAAGAATTCCCTTTTCTCCACAACCTCCCCAACATCTGTTCTTTTCTAAAATAGTAGCCATTTTGACTGGTGTGAGATGGTATCTCACTGTGGCTTTGATTTGCATTTCTCTGATAGTTATGTTGAACGTTTTTTCATATACTTGTTGGCTGCATGTGTGTCTTTTGAGAAGTGTCTGTTCATATCCTTTGCCTACTTTTTAATGGGGTTATTTTTTTCTTGTTGATTTGTTTAAGTTCCTTACAGATTCTGGATATCAGTCCTTTGCTGAATGCATAATTTGCAAACATTTTCTTCCATTCTGTAGGTTGTCTGTTTACTCCGTTGATAGTTTCTTTTGCTGTGCAGAAGCTCTT
The DNA here is from genome assembly GCF_000001405.40 of Homo sapiens. NCBI lineage: Eukaryota > Metazoa > Chordata > Mammalia > Primates > Hominidae > Homo > Homo sapiens. The sequence goes on from NC_000003.12 coordinate 126,695,459, forward strand.
TAATTAGGTCCCAATTGTTAATTTGTTTTTGTTGCATTTGCTTTTGAGGATTTAGTCATAAATTCTTTGCCTAGGCTGATGTCCAGAAGAGTATTTTCTAGATTTTCTTCTAGGATTTTGATAGTTCGAGGTCTTACATTTAAGTTTTTAATCCATTTTTAGTTAATTTTTGTATGTGGTTGAGAGGTAGGGGTCCAGTTTCATTCTTCTGCATACAGTTCTCCCAGTTTCACAGCAGTTTCCCCAGCACTATTTATTTACTAGAGAGTCCTTTCCCCACTGTTAATTTTTGTTGATTTTGTTGAAGATAAGCTGGTTGTAAGTGTGCAGTTTTATTTCAGAGTTATCTATTCTGTTCTATTTGTCTATGTGTCTTTTTAATTTTTAAATTTTCTTTTGTAGAGATGGGGTCTTGCTATGTTGCCCAGGTTGGTATTGACAAAATGCATAGATACTAAGTATACAGCTTGAAGAGTATTGATAAATGTAGACACCATAGCCACTACCCTAATCAGAATAGGGAATATTTTCATCCCTCACAAACATCCCTTAAGTCATTTTCCTATCAATTTCTGTCCCCCTGCCCAGGCAACAGTGTTTTGCAGTTTTCAGGGAACAAATCTTGTAGTTCTTTGGTTAAATGTTTTTGAAGCTATTGTAAGGGGGGTTTTCCTAATTTCATTTTTTAATTGCTCACTGCTAGTGCATAACATAGAACTGATTTTTGTATCTCATACACTCAACCTTGCTCAACTTGCTTATTAGCACTACTAAAATGTGTGTGTGTGTGTGTATGTGTGTGTGTGAATCTCTTAAGGATTTTCTACATACAAGATCATATCATCTGCAAATAGAGATAGTTTTACCTCTTCCATTTCAATCTGGAAGACTTTTATTTCATTTTCTTGTCTAACTGCTCTGGCTAGAACCTCCAGTACAATATTGAATAGAAGTGGAGAAGGCAGACACTCCTGTTTCTGATGTTGCGAGGAAAGCTCCTTATTGGCTTTTTCTTTTTTTGAGACAGAGTCTCGCTCTGTCACCCAGGCTGGAGTGCAGTAGTGTGATCTTGGCTCATTGCAACCTCTGCCTCCCGGGTTAAAGAAATTCTCCTGTCTCAGCCTCCTGGGACTACAGGCATGCACCGCCATGCCCGGCTAATTTTTGTATTTTTAGTAGAGATGGAGTTTTGCCATGTTGGCCAGGCTAGTCTCGAACTCCTGACCTCAAGTGATTCGCCCACCTCGGCCTCCCAAAGTGCTGAGATTTCAGGCATGAGCCACCACACCTGGCTCCCTTTTGGCTTTTAACATGGACAAAGCAAATTACTTTTCTACTCCACCAGCCCTTCTCTTCTTGTTTGCTTCTGAAGAACCCACTTTAAGACAAGGCACCTCACAGAACTCCCCGCTCCAGTACACCCTCCGTATTGGTTGCCAAAGTATTTGTTCCAAAAACAAAGTCTTTGAATAACAACAGCTGTTGCTGAATGAGATCCCTTAGTACCAAGCTCTCTGGACAAATACTCCAGGTAATGTTGGCAGCATTCTCACATCCTTCAGAAAACAGAGGCGCAGAGATATTCCACGAATTGCTTGAGGGGCCAGTCTAGAAAAAGGCAGAGCTCAGCCTTGTGCCCCATCCCACATAAGTACTGTGCTGTTCTGCTCAAGAGCTGGGTCACATGGTCACTTCCTGCTTTGAGGAAAGCTTTTTTTTCCTCCTCTTTTTTGTTCTGAAAATTTTCAAATGCATAGAAACAGTGAAAGAATAATATAGTGAACTCTAAGATATATGTCACCTACAGTCACCTAATGTTAACATTTCTCTTTCACACCATTTGAGTGTAAGTTGTAAACATTATGGTACTCCACTCCTAAATATTTCAACATGCATATCCCAAGAACAAGATGAACATTAATTCCACGGTATCATCTAAGACACTATCCCATGTATAAAGCATTCCCAAAAAGCCTGAGTATCTTTTGATAGCTTTGCTGTTGTTGTGTTAGTTCAGGATCCAATTAGGATTCACTGCTGCATTTCAGTGCTATGCTTCCTTCATCTCTTTTTAAAATTTTTATTATTTTGTTATTTTATTTTATTTTTTAGAGACAGGGTCTCACTCTGTCACCCAGCCTGGAGTGCAGTGGTCTAATCACGGCTCACTGCAGCCTTGACTTCCCGGGCTAAAGCACTCCTCCCACCTCAGCCTTCTGAGTAGCTGGGACTACAGGTACACACCACCACACCCGGCTAATTAAAAAAAAAATTTTTTTTTTTTTAGAGATGAGATCTTGCTATGTTGCCCAGGCTAGTCTCGAACTCCTGGCCTCAAGTGATCCTGCCACCTCGGCCTCCAGAAGTTTTGGGATTACAGGTGTGAGCCACTTCACCTGGCCTCCTTCGTCTTTTTTAAGCTACCTTTTTTTTTTTGTTTTATTTCCTATGACATTGACCTTTTGGAAGAGTCCAGGCCAGTTGTTTCCTAGGATGTTCCTGGATTTGTCTGACTGTGTCCTCACCATTAGATTCAGGTTACACTTTTGACAAGAATACTGCACTGGAGATGTTTTGTGTTCCTCATTGTATCACTTGGGGAGGGACATTGTGCCAGATGGTCCCACTATTTGAGATGCTAAATTTGGTCATTTGGTTAAGGTAGTGACTGCCAGATGTCATCATTGTAATATGGTTTTCCCTTTGTAATGAATAAATCTGTCGTTGGGTGGAAGGGAAGGTGTTGTGACAGGTCCACTCATGGCTGCCTAGCACCCGGTCCCCCCTTCCCTGCAACAGAACCCCAATTTCCTTTGGGGCAGAAAAAATTCAGCACAGATGTCTTGGTGGCCCTCTGAATACTCAGTGGCTGTCAGGCCCTGTGGCCAGGCATGATGGCTCATGCCTGTGATCCCAACACTTTGGGAGGCCAAGGTAGTCCCAGCACATTGGGTGAATAGCCTGTCCCCCAACAATTTTTCCACTCAATGGCTTTAGTATCCTTTGATGATTTTTGCCTCAGTTAATCCTCTGAAGGTGGCAAAGTGGCAATTTAAAAAAATCTCAAATGCCCGCTGTACTGGTTAGCTGGCATTTTTGTGTAAAGAAGAATTTCCTTACCCTCTTTCCTATTCTCTCTGTTGCTGTCTCCCTCTCTTCCTCCCTCTCACTAGAATAGGCTAATGGATTTAAATCAATTAAATGTGCTATAAGCCATTACTCTTTCTATTCTTCTTGATGTTCAAATTGTCCTGCATTTGGCCACTGGGAGCCTAGGAGGCAATTTTTTCTAATTGGGCACATGCCTGCACCTCAGGAAATTGGGGTTCTGTTGTAGGGAAGGGGAAACTGGGTGCCAGGTAGCCATGAGCAGACCCGTCACAACACCTTCCCTCCCCAGAGCCTCAGTTTTTTGGGCCTTAGAACAGGGTAATAAAACTCCTGGCACAAGGAACTTACTCAAAAAGCTCTGCTTCCCTCCCCCTCCTTTCCTTCACGTCCCTTGCCACTGCCTTTATCCTCCTCCTACTTTGGATCAATAATGTTGCATTATCTTCACCTGCTTGCTCCTCGGTTTTCTCATCTGTGAAGTGGAGATAAAGAATATACTGGGTTGTCATGAGGCTTACCTATGCTGCTGTAAGTCTGTGGAATTTCAAGACTCCCCAAGGATTCTTCACAGTGGGAGTGAGGCCACACAGAGTCTCATGGTCACCCTTGGCTCTCACTCGTTTTGCTAAATTAGCTCAGCACAGATGTCTTGGTGGCCCTCTGAATACTCGGTGGCTGTCCGGCCCCATGGCCAGATGCGGTGACTCACCCCTGTAATCCCAGCACTTTGGGACGCCAAGGTGGGAGGGTTGCTTGAGCCCAGGAGTTCAACACCAGCCTGGGCTGGGCAACATAGCGAGATCCAGTCTCTATTTTATATATATATATGCCAGGTGTGGTGGCATGCACCTATAGTCTTGAGAGGCAGGAGGATTCCTTGAACCCAGGAGGTCAAAGCTGCTGTGAGCTCTTTTCATGCCACTGCACTCCAGCCTGGGCAACAGAGTGAGCCCATGTCTCAAAAAAATTTTTTTTAATTGACAAAGATTATATATATTTAAAGTATAAAATGTGATGGTTTGATATACATATACATTGTGTAATGCTTATCACAATGAAATTAACACATCATTCACCATCCATGCTGTGCATTCGATCCTCAGAACTTGTTCATCTTTTTTTTTTTTTTTTTTTGATTTGGAGTCTCGCTCAGTCACCAGGGCTGGAGTGCAGTGGTGAGGTCCTGCTCACTGGAACCTCCACCTCCCAAGTTCAAGCGATTCTTCTGCTCAGCCTTCCAAGTAATTGGGATTACAGGCATGTGCCACCATGCCCGGCTAATTATTTTTTGTATTTTTAGTAGAGATGGGGTTTCACCATGTTGGTCAGGCTGATCTCAAACCCCTGACCTCAAATGATCTGCCTGCCTCAGTCTCTCAAAGTGCTGGGATTACAGGCGTGAGCCACTGTGCCTGGCCAGAACTTGTTCATCTTATAACTAAAGTTTGTACCCTTTGACCATTTCCCCATGCCCCCACTTCCTAATCCCTGGTAACCAATGTTCTATTCTGCTTCTATGAGTTCAACTTTTTTAGATTCCACATATAAGTGAGATCATACAGTATTTGTCTTTCTGTGCCTGGCTTATTTCACTTAGCAAAATGTCCTCCAGGTTCGTCCATGTTGTCACAAATGGCAGGATTTCCTTTTTTATGGCTGGATAAAACACGCGTGTGTGTGTGTGTGTGTATGTATATATATGTGTGTGTAAAACATTTTATCTGCTCATCTGTTGATGGACACAGGTTGTTTCCATATTTTGGGTATTTTGAATAATACTACAATGGACATGGGGGAGCAGATATATTTTCAAGATTTCATTTCCTTTAGATATATACTGTTAAAGGAAAAACTTGAGACTGATTAAAGAGTTTGAGAAAAGGACAAGTTACAAATCAGGGAGCCCCCCAAATCAGAATAGCTTCAAAGAGACTTCAGTGCTGCCAGTGGGGTTGGAGAGGATTTAGGGACAGGAAAAGGAAAATGACATAAATAAAATGGAAGTGAAATACAGAAATAGCCAGATTGGTTACAGCTGGGTTACAGACTTATTTGAACACCGAACAGTTGGCCACCTGTGAGTAGTATGTCTTCTGATTGGCTGAGACTTGGCTACTTGTTATAAGAGTAGGTTACAGTCTGTTTACACATCCAGTTAGATTACAGTTCACTATGTATGGATCAACCTTTAGGCTGAACTTACAAGGAAGCAGCTTTAGGCTAAAGTTAACTATACAGAAATAGGATTATTAGATTGTATTGACTTTTGGGGGAGTTGCCATACTCTCTCCCATAATGGCTCTACAAATTTATATTCCCACCAGCAGTGTGCAGGGTTCTCTTTTCTCTACATCCTCACCAACACTTCTCTTGTCTTTATTACAATACTGATTCTCACAGGTGTAAGGTGATATCTCACCATGGTTTTAATTTGCATTTCTCTGATGATTAGTGGTGTTGAGCGCTCTTCATATGCCTGTTAGCTATTCACATGTCTTCTTCAGAAAAATGTCTATTCAAGTCCTTTGCCCATTTTTAAATTGGGTATTTATTTTTGCTATTGAGTTGTGTGAGTTCCTTATAGAGTATATTTGGATATTAAGCACTTATCAGATATATGGTGCCCAAATATTTTCTCCCAGTCTGTAGGTTGCCTTTTCAGTTTGCTGCTTGTTTCCTCTTATGTGGAGAAGCTTTTTTAGTTTGATGTCATACCATTCGTTTATTTTTACTTTTGTTGTTTGTGCTTTTGGTGTTATAGCCAAAAAAATTATCATCAAGACCAATGATAAGAAGCTTTCCACCTATGTTTTCTTCTAGGAGTTTTGGGGTTTCAGATCTCACATTTAAGTCTTCAATTCATTTTGAATGGATTTTTTATGTGGTGTAATACAAGGGTCCAATTTCCTTCTTTTGAATGTGGATATCCCGTATTTCCAGCTCCAATTATTGAAGAGACTTTCCTTTCTCCATAGTGTGTATATTCTCGGCACCATTATCAAACATTAGTAGACCATATATGCATGGGCTCTCTATTTTTCTGCATTGATCTATGTATCTATTTTTATGCCAGTACCATACTCTTTTGATTACTACAGCTTTGTAATATAGTTTGAAATCAGGGAGTATGATGCCTTCAGCTTTCTGCTTCTTTCTCAAGATTGCTTTGATGATTTGGGGTCTTTTGTGGTTCCATATGAAATGTTAGAATTGTTTTTTCTATTTATGTGAAAAATGTCATTAGAATTTTGATAATGATGACATTGAATGTGTAGATTACTTTGGGTAGTAAAGCCATTTTAACAATATTAATTCTTCTGATCTATAAACACAGGCTATCTTTCTACTTATTTATGTCTCCTATAGTATCTTTCAACAGTGTCTTATAATTTTTAGTGTGCAATTTTTTGTGTGCATCTTTCTTTCACCTCCTTGGTTAAATTTATTCATATTTTATTCTTTTTGGTGTTATTGTAAGTGGGATCATTTTCTTAATTTCTTTTTGAATAGTTTGTTGTCAGAAATCAGTAATAGGAAGAACTTTGGAAAATTCACACATGTGCGGAAATTAAACAACACATTCCTGAACAGCCAATGAGCCAAAGAATAAATCAAAAGGGGAATAAACAAGTATCTTGAGACAAATGAAAATGGAAACACAAGGTACCACAACTTATAGGATGCAATAGAAACATTTTTAAGAGGGAAGTTTATAGCGAAAAATACCTACATTAAGAAAAAAGAAAGACATCAAACAACCTAATTTTATATCTCAAGGAACTAGAAGAGGAACAAACTAAGCCCCAAAGTCAGCAGACTGAAGGAAATAAAAAAGATGAGAGCAGAAATAGAAACTAGAAAAACAACAGAAAAGATCAACAGTAAAGATCAACAAAATTAACAAACCTTAGCTAGACTAACCAAGAAAAAAGGTAATTCACATAAACAAAAGTATAAATGAAAGAGGAGACATTACAACTGATATCACAGAAATACAAAAGATCATAATCAACTACTATGAACAATTATACACCAAGAAACTGGATAATTTAGGAGAAATGGACGAATTCCCAGAAACATACCATCTATCCAAACTGAGTCTTGAAGAAACAGAAAATCTGAACAGACCAATAACGAGTAAGGAGATTGAATTAGTAATCATAAACCTCCAAGGAAAAGAGACAAAGGAAAGCCCAGGACCAGGTCTGACCACATCTTTACTCAGTTTTCCCCGCGGCCCCCGGTCCCCACCCCTCTTAGCCTGTCTCCCTAACTTCCTTTCTCCTGAGGTGCTCCCCCAGGAAACTCCTTGCACCAGAATCCCCTACGCAGGCTCTGCTTATAGGGAAGAAATGGACGACAGAGGTGATGGAGTGGGGTGCGCCAATGAAGTATTTTGAATGAAACTAGCAGACACCTTTGTTCCTAAAGATTCCATCGTCACACCAGCTCTGGGATGTTTACTAGCTTCTTCACCCTGAGCTATTCTCAATCTCAGAGCCTTACTGCTCTCTCTCAATCATTCTCTCCTCCTCACCCCTTTCTTTCCAGGTTGCCAATAGGAGCTCCAAATATTTTCTGGCTATTTCATGTAGCCATCTAGTTTTCCTCAGCTCGGCTTCAGGCGCACTTTTGCAAATCAAAGCCATTCAGCAACTCAGAGGAACAAAAAGGGGCTTATTTGAAGGTAGCAGTGTCTATGACTGGCAACCGTCTGTGTGCTCCCTTACACATAGGGTCCTGTGTAAGAAGCCTACACACAATGCCTGGCACACTGCACTCCACACATGGTATGTACACTCCTTGGGCAATGCCTCCTAACGGCTTAGGACCATTCCCTGTCCTCCCGGGGCGTTTAGAATAAAACCCACACTCAGACCCTGCCTCACAAGACCCGACATGATTTGGGTCCTCACCACTCCTCTGCCCTCTTCTCACTTTCCAGCCATGGGATGACCCCTCTTTCTCTTTTCCTGCCTGAGACTCCCAGGAAACCTCTTCCCCTACCTTTTTCTACATAAATCCTACTCTCCCGCCGGCTCAGTTCAAAGCTTCTTCCTCAGAGGTTGCTCTGGCCACTGAAATTAAAAGAGGCCTCCTTCTGTTCATTTTACTAGTGGCATCGCCATGCAGTTTTCCGTGTATTACAGTCAGTTTCCTTGCGTGCGTGTTTGGCTTTTCACTTGTTTTCCCCTTGCACTGTAAACCTCTCAAGGGCAGGACACTCGCTGTCTTGAGGGGCGCTGTAATGCCAGGGCCAGGTCCCTGCTCGTCTGGCGCTCAGCCCGTGCTGCTCTACACGTGTTTGCTGAATGAATGGAGCAGTGAACCCTCAGAAATTCGCCTCCAGATGAGCGCCTTGGCCGTCTCGGCGTCTCCTGGCCTCAGAACATCACCCTTGGCTCTCCCTCAAGGGGGAGCTCCCAAAGCGAGAACGTGACCCTGTCCTGCACCCAGCCCTCCACTCCAGGGCCTCCGCCGGTACACATCTTCGGCCTCAGCCTAACGCACTCTAGCAGGCACAGACCGCCACGCCCCCACCCCTCCAGACGGAAGGACTGCAATCCCCACAAGGCACCGCGACTCAGCGCCACCCGATTGGTGAAGCCTCTGGCGTCGGCCAATAGGACGTGGCTTTGTTGGCGTGTGCCGCGGCCGCGCGAGTCCTGGAAAGCGTTGTTGGCCCGGTTGCTCTGGAGCCGGGTCTCGGGTCTGGTGGCTGCCGGCCCTGCGGCATCTCGCCATGGGGAGCACGGAGAGCAGCGAGGGCCGCAGGGTGTCCTTCGGAGTGGACGAGGAGGAGCGGGTCCGGGTGCTGCAGGGTGTCCGGGTGAGCGGCGCCGCCTGGGCCGGGGCGGGCGTGGAGGCCGCGGGCGCGGGGGGGAGGTGCGGGGCGGAGCGCAGGGCCGGGGCTCTTTCCACGCGTGAGGGGCGTGGGGCTTGGGAGACTCCGGGGGCTCAGGCCAGGAAGAGGCTGAGCCGAGACGCGAGCCCGAGGCTGGCAGCCTTGGAGCTTCGCGACATGGGCTTCAGGGAAGGAGGAGTGAAGAACTGTACAGGTGCGAGGCCCCTGGGACACGAGGGACGCCCTGGCCACGTCCTGGCTCCGGTCGGCTTAGTTTTTACGTTTCTTGAATTTGCGCCCGGCCTCCCAGCCCGTGGCCCCTCAGGTGCGCGCATCTCGTTCTGGGTACGCGGTGTCTCCCACCTGGGCTTTGCCTGGGGACTCAGCTCTTCCCCGCCGGCCTGTTCTCCACAGCACATCTGCGGGGCGCAGGAAGAACCATAGCTCAGATCTGATCCCCTTCCTTGCCTGAAACCCTCCAGTGGGTTCCTAGCGCGCTTGGATGATGCCTTCCCTGGTTCCAAAGCTGGCCGCTGCCCGTCGACCTCTGGGGACTGCATCCCTCTGGGACTGCATCTCGTGCCATTTCCCTCGCGTGGCACCCGCACCTCGTCCCCAGCCTCAGGACCGCCGTGTTTTCCTGGAGGGTGCCGCTGGCTCAGCTCAGGGTCTGTGCGCCGGCTGTTCTCTCTCCTTCAGCTCTCCTTAAATCCCGCTGTTTCTTGTAATTCTTGTTGTAATTCAGATATCACCAGAGAATCCTTCCCTGACCACCCAATCTGAAGTAACCTCCCACCCCGCGTCCAACATTTATTATTTTCATAGCACTCATCACAGTGATCGCTTCTGTTGATAATTGTTTACTTGTTTATTGCGTTTACTGCTAGAGTGTAAGCTTTTTGAGGCTAAGGTTCCTGTCTGATTGAAGACTGTCCCCAGAACCCAGAAGAATAAAAGCAGCTCTTATTGCAGTGTAGGGGCCATGCGTTGGACTAAACCCTTTATAAGTTAACTGATTTAATTTTCAACAGCCCTATTTAGCCCATTATTGTAGATTAAGGAGAAGTGAGGCACTGAGAGGTGAACGAACTGATCCAAGATCATGTAAATAGTAAGTGGGAGAGCTGGGATTGAAACAAGCCAATTCCAGGGCATGTTGCTGTGCTCGGCCTCTTCCTCCACCTGTGTCTACACCTGCAGGTGCTTTGTAAGTAACTGTGGAGAGATGAATGAACCCAGTAAAAGGGACTAGGATTAAATGAAACGCACAGAGCTGGGTGTAGATGAATTAGTTAATTAAGGAGGAATTAGGGAGGTGGCTTAGAAAGACAGACTTCAGGAGTTCTGGCAGGTGCTCATTAGCTGTGTGACCTTGGGTAAAAAACTCTTTTGAGCCTCAATGGCCACATTAAAAAAAAAATTGGGTGTGTATGTATCCTAGGTACTGCCTAGGATAAGATGATGTCTGTGAAAGTGTTAAGGAAACGCACAGAGAGAGTGCTTTGTGGAGGCCTCTCTTCTTAGCCTAGCAGAGTACTTGGCACATTTGGTGCTTGCTAGGCGTTGTATAGTTTTGTGGACCTCACTCGTGGCAAGGATTAAATGGGGGAGGAGATGGCTTGTGTTGGAAGGCCGAGAGGGAGGAACCTGAATTGGAATTTAGAAAGATAAGCTTGGCTCTGTTTGGGTGCTCTCACCCTTGTGATTTGGTCTCCTGTTTTGGGGAATGTTGGAAAGTTAAGTTGGAGTCCTCAGAGGTTCAGGGGAGTGCCTTTGGGGGTGCCTTCTTTCAAGTTGATTGGAAACCTCATGTTTTTTGAGTATTATATAAGACAGGTACATTTCATTTCTAGTTCTCTTAAATACTTCTGCAACATATAAATTCTCTGTATTTAAAGATGGAGAATTGAGCTTAAAGGAGTTAAGGAATTTGCCCAAGGTGTTAACCTGAGTAACTTCTGGGACTTTAATTAAGATCTTTTCGGTGCAAAAAGCAACTTTTTCTCACTTCTGCAATTCCCCCCCATGATGTATGCAAGGCAGCCTGAAAATTTTGTGACAATACCCATACCTGTCCTGACAGGGATGATAGTGCCCCACTTAGTTTTAAAACTGGAAGGAACTTTGGTGACTGACTGCTTTCTTTTCCAGCTGGGCAAACTAATCAGAGAGGATAAATGACTTGTCCAGAGGTGCACAGTAAGGTGCACAGCCCCACGTTATGAGAGCCACGTCCTTCCTTCTGCTTGTGTTTGAAAGAGGAAAACTGAAGAAAGGAGGTGATGGTATGAAGAAAGGATGTTTTGGTGTAGAGGCTTTTTCTGTTAGCAGAGTTACTTGAGGGTTGAGGAATTCACCTTGTCTTTAGGCAAGTGAGTGAAAAAGATTGCCAGATCAACAAAACAGTTGCCAAAGGGAACAAATCAGTTCATTTAATGAGAAGCAGATGCCAAAGAAGATCTGCCCCAGCTTCTTTAGAGCAAGTTGAATATTCTTAATGACCATTTGTATTTAATTCCTGAGGCCTGGTCTTAGAAAGTGTTCTCGTCCCTGTAAGATTAAGTGTTAGTGGCTGGTAGTGGTGGCTCATGCCTGTAATTTCAGCACTTTGGGAGGCCGAAGTGGGCAGATCACCTGAGGTCAGGAGTTAAAGACCAGTCTGGCCAACATGGTGAAACCCTGCCTCTACCAAAAATACAAAAGTTAGCTGGGCATGGTGGCACACACCTGTACACCCAGCTACTTGGGAGGCTGAGGTAGGAGAATCCTTGAACCCAGGAGGGGGAGGTTGCAGTGAGCCGAGATTATGCCAGTGTCCTCCAGCCTGGGTGACAGAGACTCCGTCTTAAAAAAAAAAAAAAAAAAGATTAAGTGCTAGGCCTTGCTAGTTTACATACTTAGTTTGCATAAATTCACAAAGTGTGTTCAAACCGTAATTCCATGGAAGGTAAAAGAAATTTAATGAATGCAAAATGCTGCAGTTATATTCAACTCCAGTTTTCAGAGCAAATGTGTGAAATACGTAAAGATTTTGTTTTAACCAGTACATTTAACCTCATCCTTCAGTAAGAGAAGGCACACATGGCAGTCATGGCGCATATGTGTCTGCCTTCCCTCTCCTCCTCTCCACATGAGCCGCCCTTTTTGGTGATTCAGCTGATGTTGGTTGCTTGTGAGCATCCAGACTGCTCACTGTTCACCAGCCTTTCCCCCTTTCCCACCACTGAGCCCACCCCTGTTCCAGTCACTTGCATGTTCCCAGAGTCATTATCCCCTCCAGGCTTGATCAACTTTACCGTCATGCATTGCTCCCATGAGGCTGATTCTGGACCACGGTGGAGGGGAAGATCAAGAAGAATGTGGTCAGACACACAAGAGAGTCCCCCATTGTGCCAGTGCCAGAGAGGCCGTGTGCCAGAGCGCTGCACCTGCAACTGCCAGTTATTCCTCACCTCAGTGAATGTCCACTGCCTTCATGTTACTTGCCCAGCACTGGGCCTGGCCTTGCTGAGACAATGAGGGACAAAGCCGAGGACCCTGTCATCATAGAGACCTCAGCCCAGTAGGGAGAATGGACCAGAAAGGAAGAGACACAGGCAAAAGACTCAAAGAGCTGCCAGAGCTAAGGAGGAAACAAAAAGGGTGCAAAAGCTACTGGGGCTGCCTGCTTGAGGTGGGATGGTCAGGCAGTGCCTCTCAGGAGGAGATGTTGACTGTGGCCTGAGCCAGCCCTATGAAGAGTGCATATTCACTCTGTGCTAAGCACTCTGCCAAGTGTATTCAGAGCATCACCCCAGAAATTCCACATGCTTACCTTGTGAGGGGTCATTATCCCCATCTCAGAAGTGAGGAAACAGGTTCAGTGAGGTGAAGTAACCCAAGGTCACAGTGCTGGAACCTCAGGGTCTCTGACTCCATAGCCCATGTGCTTGGCAGCCACAAGGAGGGTAGGATGCTTGAGGATGTGGCAGGTGGTGAGGCCAGACTCAGGGCCCAAATGCCAGGCAGGGCTGTGAACATGTTATTCTGGAGGCCACGCTGCAGTTCTCTGGTCAGGAGCAGAGCTTTGGAAAGGTTCTGTCTGGTGACACTGATTTTTCTTTAAAAACAAAAACCAACAGTTGTAAGCCAGGTGCAGTGGTATGTACCTGTAGTCCCAGCTACATGGGAGGCTGAGGCAGGAGGATCACCTGAGCCCAGTGGTTCGAGTCCAGTGTAGCAAGACCCCATCTCTTGAAAAAAAAAAAAAAAAAGCTTTATTGGGATGCATCATTTTACATATTATAAAATTCACCCATTTCAATGCTTTTTAGTAAACTGTGGTGACAGAATTGGACAACTGTCACCACAATCCAATTATAGAACATTTACAAGACCTAAAAAGATGCCTTGACCTGTTTGCAGTCACTCCCCATTCCCACTCCCAGTCCCAGGTAACCATTAATCCTGTTTCTCTATAAATTTACCTTCTCTGGACATTTCGTAGATAGTCCCCTCTTGGTCTTTCAATGACCTATCCATGGGTCGTTGGTTCCAGGACCCCCATGGATACCAAAATCCTTGGATGCTCAAGTCCCTAATGGAAAATGGTGTATTTGCATATATACTACACATATTCTCCTGTATACTTTAAATTATCTCCAGATTACTTATAATACCCAAACACTGTAAATTTTGTGTAAATAGTTGTTATACTGTATTTTTAAAGATTTGTATAATTTTTTTGGTATATTATCTTTTATTGTTTCTTTTTCTCAAATGTTTTCCTTTGGACCCATGGATACGGAGGACTGACTGTAAACGTAAATGATTAATGCATCTTTTATTTCTGGCTTCTTTCACTGAGCAAGTGTTTTTGATGTTGGTTCATTGATGTCGTAGTATATATCAGTAGTCCATCCTTTTTATTGCTGAATGGTATCCTGTTGTATGTATATACTGCATTTGGCTTATTCAGTCACCAGTTGAGGGCATTTGAATTTTTTCTACTTCTTGGTTATTGTGAGTAACGCTGCTATGAACATTTATGTATTTACAAGTTGTTTTTTTGCAGGCAAATGTTTTTAGTTCTCATGGATAGATACCTGAGAGTGGATTTGTTGGGTCATTCAGTTTATGAATTTTGTGAATTGTCAGGTTTAATTTTTAAAGAAACTGCTGAACTGTTTGCTGAAGAAGCTGTACCATTTGATATTTCCACCAGCAATACATGGGATTCCAATTTCTTCATATCTTCACCAACACTTGTTATTATCTTCGATTCTAGCAATTCTAGTGGCTGTGAAATTGTATCTCATCGTGGTTTGAATTTGCATTTCCCTAATAACTAATGATGTTGAGCGTCTCTTCATGTGCCTATCCTTATATTTTCTTTGGTGAAATGTGTATTCAGATCTTTTGCCAATTTTTAATTGGATTATTTGTCTTTTTATTGTTAAGCTATAAGATATCTTTGTGCATAGTAGGTGTGTGTAGGTTATATGCAAATACTATGCCATTTTATAAAAGGGACTTGAGCATCCTCAGATATTGGTGTCCACAGAGGTCCTGACACCAATCCTACATGGATACCAAAGGATGACTGTCCTCAATTCTGCCATTGTAGGGGAAAGCAGCCATAGACAATATGCTTAAGTGAGTGGTTTTGACTGTGTTCCAGTAAAACTTTATTTACAAAATCAATTGGTGGGTTAGATTTGGCTCAAGCACCAGAGTTTGCTGAACCCTGATCTAAATCGATGTTTGCTTCATGAGATCTTATTTCTCCAGGCTCTGTTGAAAAGATTATTCTTTCCCCATTGAATTATCTTGGAACCTTTGTGAAAATCCATTGCACATAAATTTAGGGTTTATTTCTGGACTCTCAGTTCTATTCCATTGATCTTTATGTCTGTCCTTATGCCAGTACCATGCTGTCATGCTGATTATTGTGGCTTTCTTTCAAAATTGGGACGTGTAAGGCCTCTAACTTTGTTATTTTTCAAGATTGTTTTATCTGTTCTGGGTCCTTTGCATTTCTGAATACGTTTTAGGATAAGTTTGTCAACTTCTGCAAAGAAGCTGACAGGGATTTTGATAGGATTTCTGTTGACTCTATAGATTACTTTAGGGAGAATTGCTATTTTAGCAACATGGAGTCTGCCAATTAGTATACACGAAATATCTCTTCATTCATTAGATCTTTCTTAAGTTTTCTGAGGAGTGTTTTTTACTTTCAGTGTACAAGTCTTGTACTTCTTAAATGTATTCCCAAGCATTTTATTATTTTTGATGCTATTGTGAATGGAGTTGTTTTCTTACTTTTATTTTTGGGCTCGTTGTTGCTAATGTATAGAAATATAGTTGGTTTCTGTATATTGACTTTGTATCTTGCAACCTCGTTAGGCTCATTTATTAGTTCAAGTAGGGTTTTTCTTGGGGTGGATTTCTTAGGCCTTTTTACAAGTAGGATCATGTTGTTTACAAATAAAGACTGACTTCTTTTCCAGTCTGGATGCCCTTCTTCTTTCCCTCTTGCTTTGGCTAGGATCTCCAGTACAATGCTAAATAGAAGCTGTGAATGTGAACGTCCTTGTCTTGTTCCTGAACTTAGGGTGAAAGCATTCAGTCTTCCATCATTAAGTGTGTTAGGTGTAGGGTTTTCGTAGATGCCCCTTATCAGATTGGTAACTTTATCTTTTAATAGTTACAGCCACTCCTTTCTCTCTGTCCTTATGTCCTTTTTTCCCTTTATAAGCTCTAAGAGGGCAAATCCTGGATTTTCATGATAGTGTCTGCTCATTAATATATACATGTTGGGTTACATGCTTGGATTAATGAATTGGCAGTCCTTCTCTAGCCAAGCTGGCGATCTTGTGGCAGCTGTGCATGAGAATCTTATTCTTCCAGGCTTTAACACAGACCTGTTCGGGATGTGTGCGGCAGACTTTGTTTTCCGCCATGTGGTTGCCTAGTGAAATGCTTCTGAGCTTGCCTCCTTGACTGTTTCAGTTTGAACATGGAAGTTCCTTATGATATGTTTTATATGATTACTTTTCCTGTTCTTTCTTTTGTTCTTGCTGGATGTTAAACTCTGTGCTTGGGATCCTGTTCACTCTAGAATGTCTGCTTTTTGGTTGCAGCATTCATCTTAGTTGACTCACTTAAAGGCAGTGTGGGAAACAGAAGATCCCAGACCTGGACTTATGCCCTGACACTTCAGAAGGATGTGTCTTTCTCCTTATGTGCAAGATAGAGATATGATGTAGCATCTCCATGCGCCCATTTAGCATAGACACCACGAAGGGGTTGCGTTATAGATCGTCTCTGGTCTTCCACAGCTGTAAAGCTCACCTGGCTGTTTGGATGAGTGCAGTTTGATGGAGCCCGCATCAGGAATTGCCAGCTTGGAAAGCCAGAAAACAGGCAGCCAACTTCTCTGCTGCTTTTCAATGAACAGTATCTGCTTCTGATTTCAAGTCCAACAAATGGTTCTTGAGTACACACTGTGTGCCGGTTTCTGGGCTAGCTGCTTTCACATGTGTTATTCTGTTTGATGCTCCTGAATCCATCACATGTTCTGACAAGTGCTGAGGCATTAGAAAACAAGGTAAAGCAAATTCTGCAGGGAAGCACAGTACTTTAGGTCTCTCTACCTTTTCCACCTCAGCTGCTGAGGAGTGGAGGCTCATCTTAAAGACAGGATGGTTGAAGGCCCAGACACCTGCATGTAGATTTCCCGCTGGTGCGTTCCATTTTTCTGCCTTGGTGGTTCTGAAACTCACTGTGTGTGAGAATGACAGCAGGGGACTGTCTACACAACCACACTGTACTTTAGGTGCAGAAGGAATCACTCTCAAGGGTTTAGTTGAATATCCTTTAAATTTTATCATAATATAGTACAGCGTAACCAGTAATACAATCTAAGTAGTACAAGAGTTAAAAGTTATTTCCACCTTCTGACTTCAGCATATGATCCTCATATATGATGAAATTCCATTACATTCCTCCTTTCTTGTATCACAGTACAATGTTGAAGGTCTCTGTATGTAAAAGATAAATCTATAAAATAATATAAATGTAAGGTTGTTAATTGTAACCCTTACTAGGCTCATCTCGGGCCAGTTCCCACATTTGGAAAGTAAACGTGCTGCACTGGAAGGCAGCCTTGATCCTCCCAGGCTTCAAGTGCTGCCTTTTCCCTCTATTGGAAGGGGTCGCTCCTGCTCTCCGCAGTGGCACTAGTGTCCAGCATCAACCACCGTCTCTGCCCTTCCTGTGTCTGGTAGGAGCTTCTGACCGTTTCTGAGCCTGCTATCCCTTCTGTGCCCTGTTCCTGGCCATTCTCTTTCATCCTCATTCATGCACCCATGACTTCTGGATTCTAAATATCCAACCCAGAGCTTTCTAAATGACCCTGCCAGCACCCCCGTGCATGTCCCATGGGTACATTTAATTGACTGTGTCCAAATGGGACTCACCCGCATTTCTTCTCTGCCCCCTTAGAGATGACCCTTGTCTCTTCTGTTGTGAGTAGCTCTACTATCCAGTCCTTCATCCGGAAAGCTGGCGGTCATCCACGTTCCTCTCTTTCTCTATATTCATGACAAGTCTTGAGCTTTACCTTACAGCAGTTTCTCCGTTTTGTTCTCTCCTCTTTGTCCTTCCTACTCTCAGTTCAGGCCTATACTATCTTCCCCTTGACCAGCTGACAAATTGTTCTTTATTAGCTTGCTTCCCACAAATCTATACTTTCTGGTGCTACCAGGCTATTTTTTTTAAAAAACGCAAATTTTACTTTTGAACAGGTTTCCAGGAGATGGTCATTAAATGCAGACAGTTAAAAAGGAGTTGCCCGGGGAAAAGCTTGTCTCCCTTCCACTGTGTTTTGTCAGTCCTGCTCCCAGAGGCAGCCCGTGACCAGCTTCTTGTGTCCCGGGGACTGTTCAGAGTTGAGGCTGATTGTGTCACATCCTTTCATGTCTCCCCCTTGCCTCTTGGTTAAAGGCATGTTTCCGGGCCTGGCTCACAAGGTCCTTCATGTGTGGGCGCCACTTTCTGCCTTCACTGCGCCTCCCTGCAGGGACACTTGATCCTGCGGGACCCTAAGCTGCTTCATGCATGTGTGCCTGTGATTCTCCTCCTTTGGCTGGCCAGGTGGAAGTGTTGCCTTCAGAAGGAGCCTTTGGTGGTGTCCCCTGCAGACTCTGTGGTCCCCTCCCAGGGCTTAGTGCCCTGGGCCAAAATGATCTATTCCACACTTACTTCCTTTCTGCCCCATGAACAGGGGCCACATCTTCTTCGTCTCTCTGTCCCCAGCACCTAAGCCAGAGCTTGGCACAAGTCAGTAAAATACTTGTTGGATAAAAGTTTAAGCCACTGGCTCAGTTTTTCTTGCCTCAAACTATGACTCCAGAAACTTAATGATATTAATTGATTTTAAGTAATTGCCACCATTTAAAAGTTGGGAGGCTTTAGATCGAGACCATCCTGTCTAATATGGTGAAACCCTGTCTCTACTAAAAATACAAAAAGTTAGCCGGGCATGGTGGTGGGTGCCTGTAGTCCCAGCTACTTGGGAGGCTGAGGCAGGAGAATGGCATGAACCTGGGAGGCGGAGCTTGCAGTGAGCTGAGATCGCACCACTGCACTCCAGCCTGGGCGACAGAGCCAGACTGCATCTCAAAAAAAAAAAAAAAAAAAAAAAAAAAGTTGGGAGGCTTTACATAAAATTTATTTTTAGCTTTTTTGGGGGAACAAATGGAAAGTCTGCCATTCTTGTGTGACAACACTTTGCTGGAGTTGCAAAGTGGCTACACTCTTCAGGTGGCTGTGCAGTCTCATTACAGTTACACCATGGTATCCTTGCATGGTGCTTTATAAATTTTATTTTTTAAAATCAGGCTTGTTTTATTTGTTTCCACCACCTGTCCGACTCCTGTGGGCATTTGTGTGTGCCATGCTTGGTGTAGGAGGTCTCCGAGGGCTCTTCTTGTTCTGCCTTTCTGGGATTGACATCTGTGGTGAGCAGCCGGTGCATCTAATTTCAGCTCATAGAAAACTGAAGAGCTAGGGAACAAAATCTCCAAGGCAACAGCCTTAGGCAAGGGGGTGATCTTCTTCGGATCACGGGGTTGGGCAACACCTCTACAGAGACTGGGGTGTCGGGCATCGGGGTGTTGGCACCAGGAGCTGACAGGCTGAGCCTCCTGGAAGCCTGTCCTTCTGAAACTGGCCACATCGGCACTGTCCTGGTGCTAGGCCTGCCCTAGCCCACCCTGCCTGCCTGCTGTAGGCCTGAGCTGATTTTATCTCTTCCTCGTTTTCCAGTGCCTAGCACCCAGCAGGCCCTAGGAAAACACTGCGTTGAGTGGATGGAGCATGGCTGCGTAGGCCTGTCTCGGCTGCTGACCCACTGTATAACTTTGGGAAGTCACTCTCTGCAGCTCACTCTCTTCATCCTCAGAGTGAGGACGATGACACCGCTCCTGCCTGTGATGCCTCACTTTGTGAACTGTGTGAACTTTCAATGCAAAGACTAATGCTTAAACTGCCTCCCCATTGCGCCTTCCCAAATGTGCCTAGGTAGTTAACATTTTTAAGGCTAAAAACATACTCATTTTCATATTGACATTCGACTAGTTTTTAAAGTAGGTTGTCTGTTTTGTGGGTATACGGATGCTCTGCCCGTCCATCTCCCTGGGGCTCCATAAAGCAGTCGGTGGAGGAAGTGGGAACTGCAAATCATTCTATTGTTTCCCAGTCTTCCCTTCTATGAAAAGGGTTACTTGTCACCTCAGAGCAGCTCCATGTTACTGCCTTTACTTGTGCAGGGGTCCCTGTTAAGTGTCCAGGGTTTGGATTTGAGTCATTACCCTAGCACTTCCCACGTTCCACCTCCCTGACTCAGTTTCTTCATCTGTAAAGTGGCGATCGCTGCACAGGGACTGCCCTTACCTGGAGCCTGGCATATGGAGTATGCTCTAGGAACGGCAAGTCAGGGTCGTTTTTGTCATTAGCCTTAAATAGGCACCCTTATCATCAGTCTTGGGTTGCAGTCTTCTCTTCTAGCCATGAGCTTTGCTGCCTGCCTCTGGAGTGTGGGGAAATTACATTCTTACCTGGCCTGCCCCTAGGCTCTTGTATGCCTGGGATTCCCTAACATCTTTCTAGAGAGGTAGCCTCTTGTAGCTTCCTGTGCAACCTGTTTGCCTGTGGAACAGAGCTGCATGGATGGACTTGGAACATGACACACCCACACAGAGATCAATAATGTGGCTCAATAATGATGCCTGCCTCTTTCCCACGAGCCATACTCAGGGCCTTGCTATCAGTTTTCCCTCATCCCTGTTACTTTAGGAGTTTTTCTTCTTGTGGAGTGCATCTTATTTTTAAATGCCAGCTGGTCACAATTTCTCATGAATCCTTTCAGAGTTTTCCCAAGGCCGTGGATACAAGTGCACTCTTTCCTTTCTGCAAGTACAAATGAGATCACGCTATTCCGTCCATTCCCTTTTCCTCTTACCTGCGCATTCAGTCAGATGGTCTGAAATAGTTTCACTTCCTTGGCGTCTTTTGTAACCATCCCCTCCCTGTCACTGCTTCAGTTGTCACACTTCTCAGTGCTCCTCCTCCTGATTTGCACTGTTGTGGTGGTTTCCCTGCTACCAGCCCCTTCGTGATTTCAGTCCCTCCTCCTGCTTTGCCAGACCTTCCTGTGCAAAGAGAAGACTGACCACATCCCTGCTTATAGCCTTCACTGACTCCCAGTTCCAGCTTCCTTGGTTTGCCATCCAAGGCTCTCAACAGGTGGCACTCCAGCAACTCCTCACACCTGATGTTTTCACGTCCCTGCCAGACTGAGCCGTGGTGCTCCTTGGAGCTCCCTCCCTTCCGTGCCTTTGCTCATGCCACACCTCTCTCTGGAACGCCACCTTCTGCTCACACCCCTTCTCTGCTGTCATCCCTTCAGGCCCAATTCAGGCCATCTCCCTTCTAGCTGGAACTCGGAGTTCCATTGTTGAACCTCCTGGGCCCTTAGGAGGGCCGCTGGTATCCACTGCTCAGTGGCTTGTCTTCTCTCCCTCTGTATCTGTCTCCTCCACCCTGCTTGACCATGAGCTCTTTGAGTAGAAGGGTCATGGATGTCATATCTTTATATACTCCATCATGCTAGTACCATGTTATGGACCCAGGCCTCTAATAAATATTTAATTCATGTGGTTCACAAACATTTGAGTGTCTCCGGTGTGCTAAGCCCTGAAGATACAGCAGGAGCATCATGGAATCCCTGCGCCTGTGGAGCCACTGTGCTGTTGGAGTGAAGACAAAAAAGTGCTTGGGGTCTGTTGTGCCCGGAGGTCATAAGTGCTGCAAAGAAAGCAAAGCAGAGTAAGGGGAGGGACGGTGCTGGCAGGGGTGGGGTTGATAGGGGGGCTGGTTCCAGACAGGGGAGTCGGGGAAATGCGTGCAGTCCCCTTTGAGGCTGAGCCTGCTGGGAGTCAGTTGGTTCCCTGGCCTTTCTACAGCAATCTTGGCCCCTCTTTTTATCGCTTTAGCTTCTGTAGTGGTTGTCCTTTCTAGGGGCCTGAGTGCTGCTTAGCAGGTGCATCTCCCCTTGCTCTTGCTGTTGGGGTGGCAGCCTGCTGCCTTCAAAGCAGAGCAGCACAGCAGTTAAGCACGCAGGCCGGGGTCAGGCGGCTTTCCCTGCAGTCAGGCTTTGGTCCTGTGGCTTCATGGACTGGGCAAGTTCTTTAACCTCTCTCTACCTTGGTTTTCTCAAGTAGAAGGTGGGTGTGGCATTGTGAGGATTAGTGAGGTGGTCTGTGCACAGTGAGTGCTGGATGAAGGTTAATCAGTAGGTAGGTAGCGTTAGTAAGGTGGCACAACTCAGTTACAATCACAACTCTCATCCTCATGACCTTATATCATGACCTTATATTGGGTCAGCTGCACACTGCTCACTCCTGTCCTTGTTCATTCAGTTGTTGATAATACCTACTTGAGGTTTTTAAGATGGCACCATTCTCCTTACAACCTTTTAGTCGCGAGGTGGCCATGTGACTTACTCGTAGACCTGTATGGTTTAATAAAGAAACCCATACGGTGGCATGCACCTATAGTCCTGGCTACTCAGGAGGCTGAGGCAGGAGGATCCCTTGGGCCCAGGAGTTTGAGACCACCTGGGCAACAAAGGGAGGCCTTATCTCTAAAAAATAAAAAAAGAAATCTGTAGCCATTTGGGAACTTGCCTCTAAGTTCACAGTTGCTTTTGGGTGAGGCTGGCATTTTGGTTAGGGTCAGATTTTGGTTTCTTCCTTGGAAGGAGGTGGGATCTGGGTTCCAAATGCATTTGTTAAGGTGGAAGTGCTGAGGGGTGTGTGTGTGTGTGTGTGGCTTAGATTGAGGCTTGGGCCTCTCCCTGGCCTGGCCTTGCATTTGACTCAGACTGTCTGTGGGCCTTCACTACTCTGCACGCGTTCCCCCTCCATCACGGAGCTTGTAGGGCAAGGACTGTGGGCTGGAGAGGGGAGGAGAGAGAGTCTCTTCCTGGACTTCACTTTGTCATTAGAGTCTTATGGAGGTGCCAGCCAAGTGTGCCAGGGTAGCGGCAGGGAAGAGGCCCCTTTCCTTGGTGTCCCCCTGTTACTCCAGGGTGAGGGCAGGTTCAGGTTTGAGCCACAGGATGTCAGAGCTGGAGGGCACTTTAAAAAGAATGTGCCCAATTTAATTTTGTGTACAGTATGGACAAGCTGAGAAAAGACTTGCTCAAGGTTGCAAAGCTACATGGAGAGCACTTAGAACAGTGCTGATGGTCTGTGGCAAATGCTAACTGTTGTTATTATTGATCAACTCATGTATTTTTATGTACCCAATATGTGCCTGGTATGGATTATAATTAATATTTGTGTAGCACTTTGCAGTTTTCACTTAATAGCTAATATCAATTGTTTACATTGTACCAACTGCTTTGTGTAGATTGCTTCATTTAATCCTGGAAATCACTGTAGAGTCTGTACCATTAATTCTTTCCATTTAACAGATGAGGAAACTGACTTAGAGCTAAGAAGTCCCCTGGCCAAGGTCACACAGCTGGTATGCAGCTTAGCTGGGATTCAAACCTGGGCTGGTCTGACTGCAAAGCACTGAGTTCCTGAGCTGCGCAGCAGCCAGGCCAGCCTTGAGGGAGGCTCCATTTCCTAGGTGAGGACAGTGACGCTCAGAGAAGCTAAAGAATTGGGGCAGCACCACGCAGCTGGAGGGTGGGCAGAGCTCCTCCTCCCCTGTACTGCTCTATATTAGCCCTCTGTCCATTGACCACACAGGACCTCCTGGCCAGCTCTGATGGCACTGTGACCAGCGGGCCGTGGCATCAAGCACGCAGCCCCGTCTGGCTCCGGAGGCCTCCCCTCTGGTTCTGTTGGTGCAGGGACCACTGCCCAGATGGTGTTTATTCTCACATGACTGCTGTGTGTGTATGTATATTTGTTGATTAAAAATATTACTTGCTGTATTTTGTGGCAACATAAAAAAAATTACAACTCTCTTAGTGCCAACAAGAATCTTGCCAATGTTTTCATTAACCTCTTACAAACCAAGTCGTGTGGTTCCATTCCTGCCCCCTGGGGTTGCAGCTGACAAATCTTAGCCTCCCACTCACCTGTGCAGAACCCCCGCAGTGACCTCCTCGTGCCCTCAGATCAGATGTGAATGCTTTACCCTGGTTGGCCAGGGCTCATACGGTCTAGCCTGTGCCTGCCCCTCTGGCTTGATCGTCTGGTCCCTTTCTTTTAATTCACTGTCCTCTGGCCTGCCGGCCTTCTGTGGGGCCCTCGGACATGCCAGACTCAGTCCTTCTCAGAGACTGTGCTTCTCCCCTCTCCTGGAACTAGGTTTCAGGATGTACATGTGGTTGAGCATCTCATCGCTGGGCGGGCGTCTTAACAGGAATGTCACGGCTAAGCAGGCTTCCCTAGTGCATGCGGCTTCTTGCCCCCCCTGCCCTGCATGCTGCCATCACTTTATGATAGCCGTTTCTTCTTTCATAGATAGCACCAATCACTAGTGCACCCCATTGGTTCTTCAGCATACATTTAAGCATTTCTGAAGTGGGGATGTTGTGTATGATAGGATGTTGTGTATGATAGGAGGAATGTTAATTTCACTAGGGTTTTTGTCTTTCATCAGGCCATGTAAAATAATGGTAAGGTTTACAGTTGCTGGTGTCCTGGCTTAGGTGAGGGAGGACATGGGAAACAGTGTGTTTACTGGGTATCGTTTCTCACCTGCCATCCGAATGTGAGCTCCAGAAACTGAGGGACTGTGTCACTCCCTTTCAGTGCTGTTGCTCACTGCTTCTAGCGCATTGCCATCACAGTGAGTGCCTCATAAAGAGGGACAGTGGGCCGTGGTTACCGCTCCCTTGTCTGTTTGCCTCTGGATGGGGTGCTTCCTCTGCTCCTTGCCTGGGCTGCACTATCAGAGTCTTCTTTTTTTTTTTAATTTGAGACAGAGTTTCACTCTTGTTGCCCAGACTGGAGTGCAATGGCGTGATCTCAGCTTACTGCAACCTCCACCTCCTGGGGTCAAATGATTCTCCTGCCTCAGCCTCTTGAGTAGCTGGGATTACAGGTGCCCGCCACCACGCCAGGCTAATTTTTGTATTTTTAGTAGAGACGTGGGTTTCACCATGTTGACCAGGCTGGTCTTGAACTCCTGACCTCAGGTGATCCACCTGCCTCGGCCTCCCAAAGAGCTGAGATTGGAGGCGTGAGCCACTGCACCCAGCCAAGAGTCTTTTGCATGACAGGGCCTGGTCTTCCTGGTCACGCAGCCCTTTTCCATGGTGTGGATTAGGACATCGTCAGCTGTGACTGCCACTGTCATGTAGATCACACCTGTCATGGTTGCCTCATCCTCATCCACATAGATCCCAGGACCCCTGAGGTTCATTCCTCACTGCTGACCTCCCTCAGGACACCCAACCGGGGCTTCTAGTCCCTCAGGGGCCTGGTGCATTCCCACAGGGTCCACTCTGAAATGGGGGGTGCTGTCCAGTCGTGTGCTGGTAAATTTCTAACTGGCTCTGCCCTTCACCTCCCTCAAAGGGCCTGGTTTGTAGCACTGGCCAGTTTCTATGGTGGATATACCATTGTAGCCAATTCCAAACTGCTGTCATGAAGTCAACCAGCACATGTTTCCTGAAAATTTAAAAATGAGCTCTTAGCCAGTTTCAGCCACCATTTGGATGCCCAGATCTTTTTGTTCAGCCTGTGTTCCCTGAAGTGCTGGCTTCAGGAAGTTCTCTGAAGTGTTCCCTCTTGAGTGCTGGCTCCGTGTCCCCACCTATGGAGAAAGATGTTCCACGTTGCTCCTGCTGTCACTTCGCACCCAGCCTGGTGTCCTGTTTCCACCCTCAGCATGTGGCTAAGTGCTTACTGGGGACTTGGGGCTTTAGATGTTTCTCCTCATTCTCCCATACACTGACTCACTCAGGGTCTTAGTTGCTACAGCCGCAAAAAAGGAGCAAATGGGCAAACTTGGGAAGGTTTCTCCCTTTTACAATGTGGGATTTTTGTATTTACCTACAATCAAACGGATCTGCTGCCTTCTTAGAATAATTTTCTTAATTTCCTCCCTTTCTTTGTCATTCTCACGCAAATTATTCCACGAACTTGAGATCAAAACTCCTTTTCTTCAACTCTGTGCTCTCGTTCATTCCCTGCAGTCAGGGCAGCCACCAGACGAGCCTTTCATCCCACCTCCCACGCAGGCCGTGGTGATGTTTCCTTGCTCACAAACTTTCAGCGTCTCCTCGGGATGGTTGGACCTCTCCCTTTGCCTGACTTCCAAGCTTCCTTCTGTGCTGGCTTCATCCAAGTCCTTCCACCCCACGCCTTCCAAAGTGAACCTATGGCGGCAGGCGCACGGTCTCTTCCTGTCTGTGCCTCTTCCCCGGTGCCCTGCCCTAGGCTATGAAGCTTCTGCCTTCTGCAGACATCGCTGCCGTCCCGCCCATGGGATGGAGCTTCTCCTGTGTCTAAGTCTGCGCCTGCCTTAGGGAACCCATCCCTCTCTTGGCTGCTTCCGGCCACTGGAATCCCTCCTTGTGCTGTTCTCATTGACTTCCTGTCTGGGCTGCTTCTCTTTGTTTTTGGTGTTCTCTCCCTTTTTATTTGTAACAGCTTTATTGAGATGTGATTCACATGCTGTACAATACATCCATTTAAGGCATGTGATTTAATAGTTTTTAGTGTATTCACAGGTATGTGTGACCATTGCCACAATCATTTTTAGAACATTTTCATCACCCCCACCCCCCACCCTCCCCACCAAATCCTACTTACCCTGTAGCTATCAGTCCCCACCCCGGTCCCTGCATTTCCCCAAGCCCAAGGCAGTCACGAATCTACTTTTGTGTCTAGAGATTTGCCTGTTGTGGAATACGCCACACAGTGTGGCCTTTTGGGTCTGACTCCTTTCACTTAGCGTAGTGCTTTCAAGGTTTCTCCATGTTATAATGTGTCAGTAGTTCATTCCCTTTTATGGCTGAATAATACTCCATTGTATAGATATACTTCATTTTACTTATCCATTCATTGGTTGATGAACATTTGGGTCCTTTCCATTTTTTGGCTATTACAGATAATGCTGATGTGAACACATGTTTTCATTTGTCTTTGGTGTACAATGAGAAGTGGAATTGCCATATCAAGTGGTAACTCTCCATATCCTCGCAAATACTTATTATAATTTGACTTTAAAAATTTATTTATTTATTTAGAAACAGAGCCTCACCTGTTGTCCAGGCTGGAGTGCAGTGGCACAGTCATAGCTCGCTGTAACCATGACTTCCTGGGCTCAAGCAATCCTTTTGCCTCAGCCTCCCAAGAAGCTAGGACTGTAGGCATGTGGCACCACACCTGGCTAATTAAAAAAAAATTTTTGTTTTTTAGAGAAAGGGCCTCACTGTGTTGCCCAGGCTGGTCTCAAACTCCTGGTCTCAAGTGATCCTTTTGCCTCGGCCCTCCAAAATGCTAAGATTACAGATGCGAGCCACTATGGCTGACCCTTACACGTTGACCTTTTAATTATAGCCATCCTCGTGGGTGTGATGTGGTACCTTATTGTGGTTTAAACCCGTGTTTCTCTAGAGACTAATGATGTTGAGCATCTTTTCCTGTGCTTATTGACCATTTGTATATCTTCTTTGGAAAAATTTCTATTTAGATCCTTTGCCCATTTTTAAGTAGGATTATTTTTCATTTTATTATTCAATTCTGGAAGGTGTTTATATGTTTTAGATAAAAGTTCCTTATCAGGTATATGATTTGTACATATTTTCTCCCATTCTGTGGGTTGTCTTTTCAGTTGCCCTATGGTGTCATTTGGTACTCAAAACTTTAAAATTTTGAAAAAGTCCAATTATTTATTTATTTCTTTCATTGCTCATGCTTTTGGTGTCATCTCTAAGAACGTATTGCCAAAGCCAAGGTCATAATGATTTAGCCCTCTGTTTTCTAATAAGAGTTTTATAGTTTTAGCTCTTAATGTTTAGGTCTCGGATCTGTTTTGTATTAATTCTTGTATATGGTGTAAGGTAGGTGTGCAACTATATTATTTTGCAAGGGATATCCAGTTGTCCCAGCATCATTGGTTGAAGAGACCGCTCTTTCCCCACTGAACCATCTTGGCACCCTTGTTGAAATCAACTGACCATAGAGATAAAGGTTTCTTTATGGCCTCCTTATTCCCTTCCATTGATATGTTTGGTCTTCTCTTGTCATATGTCATTAACTAGTTATTTGATTGTATATATCTTAAATACTACAGGGACTCTATTATTATTATTATTATTACAATCTTTTGTTACTAAGGAAATGTTCATGGTAAAAAAATTAAGATGCAAAAGTTCCAAAAGTGAAAATCCTGCCCCAGCTGCTCCTGTCCCCACTTTCAGGACCTCATCCTCTGAGTACTTTGCTAAGCAGTTTTGTAGATTTCTCCTTGGAGCAGATCTGTATATGTGTCTTATGTGCATGCATGTGAAATCCAAATGCAGTTCACACTTGCGGATATGTGTATATGCATATATTCAAATTCAGCAACATTTATATTTGTATGTCTGCATTTTTTTTTGCAAAATTGAGATGTGCAAAAAATTCTATGACTTTTTAAACAATCAGCAGTATATCTCATGTGTTTTCCGTGACAGTGTATGTGTATTCTACCTTGTTCTTTCTTAATGGTTCCATAAAATTCTATAGGATGTATATGCCGAAATTTTCTCAGTCAGTTCTCTATCTGTTGGATGTTTATGTGATTTCCTTTTCTTTTTTCCCTATTTCCTCCGGTGTCACAGTGAGTGTCCTTCCACATGCCTCTGTGTACATGGGGGAGTAGTTTTCTCAGTGAGATATTCTGGAAGTGGAGTTGCTGATCATGTCTTTTGTCTTACAGTAATTTTTAATGTCTTTCCCTCCGCTGTGTTTTATGATGCCTTGCACATATTAGGCACTTAATAAATATTTACTAAAGTGAACTCTTAAGGATTTTTATCCTGGATTGATCCCCAGCTTGCTGTTTCATCTCAGTAAACTGTTTTATGACACCCTTAGGCCTATTTCACATCCTCTAAATGAATGAGAGTTTTGGTTATCCAGTCTTCATTAGGGGAACTGAGGTGAAATTAGTCAAGCAGTATTTGATTATCTACTGTATGTGTGGCACTGGAGGTGTACAGAGATGAGTGAGATTCAGGCTTAGCCCTCAAGGTATTTAAAAACCATCAGGATAGGCAGGCAGGAGGTGTAGTACTTCTCTGAGAAGCACATGTGTGTTGTCAGGGGGCTCAGAGGAAGGGAAAAGGTGATACTGGCACACCTGGGAGATGGTGCAGACGTGGCTCCAGATACCACAGTACAGTGGACATCAAAATAAAGCAAATCATGAACTTTTTGGTTTCCTAGTGTATATAAGAGTTGTGTTTACACTATATTGTAGTCTCAAGTGTACACTAACATTATGCCTAAAAAGTGTATATACCTTAATTAGAAATACTTTATTGGCAAAATATGCTAATGATCATCTGAGCCTTTAGTGAGTCATAATCTTTTTGCTGGTGGGGGGTCTTGCCTCCTTGTTGATGGCTGCTGACTGATCAGGATGGTGGTTGGCTGTGGCAGTTTTGTAAAATAAGACAACAATGAAGTTTGCCACATCGATCAACTCTTCCTTTCACAAAAGATTTCTCTGTAGCATACGATGCTGTTTGATAGCATTTAACCCATAGTGGAGCTCCTTTCAAGATCGGAGTCAGTTCTCTAAAACCCTGCTGCTACTCTATCAACTAAGTTTATGATCCTATTCTAAATCCTTTGTTGTCATTTCAGCAGTGTTCACAGCATCTTCACCAGGAGCAGATTCCATCTCAAGAAACCACTTTCTTTCCTCATCCATAAGAAGCAACTCCTCATCTGTTCAAATTTGATCCTGAGATTGCAGCAATTCAGTCACATCCTCAGGCTCCACTTCTAATTCTACTTCTCTTGCTGTTTCCACAACATCTGCAGTGACTTCTCCATTGAAGTCTTGAACCCCTCAGAGTCATCCATGAGGGTTGGAATCTACTTCTTTTAGACTCCTATTAATATTGATTTTTTGACCTCTTCCCATGAATCATGAATGTTCTTAATGGCATCAGAATAGTGAGTCCTTTCCTTGGAGTTCTCAGTTTACTTTTCCCAGGTCCATCAGAGGAGTCACTATGTATGGCAGCTCTAAGCTTATAAATGAATTTCTTAAATAATAAGACTTGAAAGTAAAAATTACTCCTTGATCCATGGGCTACAGAATGGATGCTGTGTTAGGAGGCATGAAAATAACATTCATCTTGTACATCTCCATCAGAGCTTTTGGGTGACCAGGTGCATTGTCAAGGAGCAGTAATATTTTGAATGGATTCTTTTTTGCTGAGCAGTAGGTCTCAACAGTGGGCTTAAAGTATTCAGTAAAACATGTTGTAAACAGATGTTCTGTCATCTAGACTCTGTTGTTCCATTTCTAGAGCACTGGCAGAGTAGATTGAATATCATTCTTAAAGGCCCTAGAGTTTTCAGAAGGCTAAATGAACATTGGCTTCCATTAAAAGTCACCAACTGCATTACCCCCTAACAAGAGAGTCAGCCTGTCCTTTGAAGGTTTGAAGCCAGGCATTGATTTCTCCCCTCTAGCTATGAAAGTCTTAGATGGCATCTTTTCCCAGTAGAAGACTGTTCTGTTTAGTATTGCTACCTTCATCAATGATCTTACATAGATCTTCTGGATAACTTGCTGCAGCCTCTCCATCAGCACTTGCTGCTTCACCTTGCACTTTTATGTTATGGAGATGGTGTCTTTACTTAAGTCTTATGAACCAACCTTGGCTCACTTCAGTCTTTTCTTCTGCAGCTTCCTCACCTCTCTCAGCCTTGACTGAATTGAAAAGAGAGAGAGCCTTGGGCTTGATTAGGCTTTTGCTTAAGGGAATACGGTGGCTGGTTTGATCTTCTATCCAGACCACTAAAACTTTTTCCATATCAGCAGTGAGTCCGTTTCACTTTCTTACCATTCATGTGTTCACAGGAGTAGCACATGTAACTTCTTTCAACAACTTTTCCTAACTTGGCTAACTGTTAGGTGCAACAGGCCTAGCTCTCGGCCTATCTTAGCTTTCGACATGCCTTCCTCACTAAGCTTAATCATTTGTAGTTTTTAATTTAAAGTGAGAGACATGGGACTTTTCATTTGAACACTTAGAGGCCATTGCAGGGTTATTAATTGGCCTAATTTTGTTGTGTCTCAGGGGATAGAAAGGCCCAAGGAGAGGGAGAGAGACAGGGGTCGGGGAATGGCTCATTGCTGGAGCCATCAGAACACAACAGCATTTATCGGTTAAGTTCGCCGTCTTACATGGACAATGTTCTCAGTGTCCCAAAACAATTACAAGAGTAACATGAAATGTCACTGATCACAGATCACTGTAACAGATATAACAATGAAAAAGCTTCAAGTATCATGAGAATTATCAAAACATGACTGAGAGACACAAAGTACATGCTGTTGGAAAGACAGCACCAGTAGACTTGCCTGATGCAGGCTTGCCACAGACCTTCAACTTGTAAAAAAAAAAATGTGTTATCTGCAAAGTGGAATAAAGAGAAATGTGATAGAAGGAGGTACCTGTGCTTCACTTGCATGCTGTCGAGGAGCAGCCTTCCCTGGAGAAGGGGACATTGAGATACCTCCAAAGAAAGGATATGATTTGGATGGGTGGAGATGTCCCAGAGAGGGAGGTGGTGGGCTGGAGGTGGTTCAGAGGGAAGAGCATGCCTGAATTCAGAAGAGGTGAGAAAAGTGAGACATCAGGTTCCCCTGAGGACTGGGTGTGTGGAGGGAAGTGGTGGGGGTAAAGCCGCAAAGCCAGCAGGGGACATATATTGGTAGGCTTGGGAATCCGGATGGGCTCAGCATGGACCTGGTAGGCACTGGGCCACCACGAGAGGAGTTTTAGTAGAATTGCTTTGTTGGAGTTGGTCTTGAGGAAGCAGCGCATTCAGTAAATCTGGGGCCTGAATAAAGAGGAGGCTTTGCTTCCAGGCACTTCTGTGACATAACTTTTTCTTTTCCCTCTTTTCTGCTTCCTTAGCTGTCTGAAAACGTGGTGAACCGCATGAAGGAGCCCAGCTCTCCACCCCCTGCTCCCACATCTTCTACCTTTGGCCTTCAAGATGGCAACTTGAGAGCCCCTCACAAAGGTATGGGGATTGTGACAGTTCTGTGGAGTGTGGAGAGACAGTGAAAGGAGTGATGGGTGCTCACCCGAGCCCACCTGATGGCGCACAGGGCTCAGGTTGGCTTCTGGATGACGTTAAGCAGCTCTGTCTGGTAAGGGCTTTCCGGAAGAGCATGGCTTTCTGGGAGTGATGGGGCTGTCATCAGAGCTGCCGGGATTCGGGTCGGACCACCTTCCCTCTGTGCCACTTTCTCCATGTGGGAATTGAGGCAGAAGGACCTGAGTTGACAGCTCAGGAAAGAAGTTGCCTTTAAGGCTCCTCAGAGGCGGCATAGCCATGACTCAGCTTCAGCCACTCTAGCCTAACTCCCAAGTCAAAGAATGATGTGGATTCACGTGAACAGGGCCAAGTATAGGAGAATTCCGTCAGTGATTTAGGCGCCTACCGCAGCAGCCCTCACCTGAGCCTCAGGCCGAGAGCTCCTGTCCTGGCCCTTGGAATGGTTCCCTCTGGGCTTCTAGGAGGGGTCCTAGGAGTTCCTCTTCCTGGCCCACTGTGAAGCTGGTGCTCAAGCCGGGCTCAAAGCTGATTTGTTCCCTACTGTATTGTGCGTGTTGCAAATGAAGAAATTTGTGCTTTCCCCAAATAACGACTTGTAGCAAACACAAGGAAATAAAATTTTAAGGAAAAAAGTTCTAAGGCATACAAATGTTAAAATATTACAAAATAAAAAAGTCCTTGGAGCAACTGCTCAAAACATACTTGTTTTTGAGAACTTGGGTCTGTCTATCAGATTCCGTAACTCAATTAAAAAAAAAAAAAGATTGGCTGGAGGCAGCATGCCACCACGGAAGGACCGACTGTTCAGGTGGATAACCACCCACTAGATTGTTCTTCTTGGGCCTGGTCTCGCGTTACAGTTGCCTTTTCTACTCATCTTCCCTGTTGGGTTGAAAGAGTTTAGAATATGAGAGCTGTATCCTGCCCACTTAGTGTTTACTGAAGGCCACCCAGAACCAAGTCCTGTGCCCTGTGCCAAGACACAGTGATAGGTGGGCAGGGACCCTCTCTCATGGCACACCTGGCTCTGGTTATGGAGACTGATGAGTTATGTGTCATGTTGTGATGCAACACTGGAATCTGTACCAGGCTCACGGGAGAAGAGGGACTGTGAAAGGCAGGAGGAATGGTGGTGGGTGGGCACTGCGAATGGGCAGATTGCAGGAGCGGAGGTCCGGCGACAGGGTGCATCCCAGCCTGCTCGGGGGCCTAGAAGCATTGCCCAGGAGCCAGTCAGCACCTGGATTTGGACCCACCCCAAGATCTTTCTGAATATCTACCACTGTAGGGGATGTGTGAGATTCCCGAAAACCCTCCAAGAAGCCCTTGTCCTTTACTAATAGGGCTCACTTACTCCCCACGCTGGCTCTAACTAACTGATGAGAAGGGCTTAAGAGGAGTCTAACTTGACCCAATGCACTTTAACAAACTGGATTAACTCGAAAGAGGGAGAAAGTGATGATAAAAGCGAAAATTGCCATAATATATAATACTACACATCAGTTTCAGCTTTAGAAGAAATAAGAAGCATTTGCTTCAGTTTGGTAAGTTCCAGCAGTTTAGAAAGCAAGAACAGTGGTTCTTTTGTCACTTGGAGTTAATTATAACAAAGTACTTTGCTGTTTAAATGATAGGTGTAAGTTTTGTTTCTGAATGTTGAAGAGTCAGCATAAATGGACTGTCTTAAAGTTAACTAATTTTAAGATATTTTGTACTTTTAAAACCAGTTTTTGCTTTATTTTAGTGATGGAACAAAGTTAGAAAAAGAAATTAAAATTAAATTCTTCTCATACTATACCCCCCAAAAATGTCAGAGGAAATAAAAGATTGAAATGTATGGCTTGAAGCCATGAAAGTACAATAGAAGATAGATTTTCTACACGTCATATTAAACGAAGAAACCTTAAATTAAAAAAAATAGGAAATGTGAATATAAGAAATTAGACAATTTAGAAAAGAAGTAACAGGAATGGATAAGTTAGGGAAAATATAACATTTGACAAAGTCCTAGTAATCTTAATATGTAGCGAGTTCTTAAAGATCTTTAAGAAAGACAACTCAGTAGGAAATGTGCACAGATGGCCATACTCATGACAGGATCTCCACGTCACTAATACTGAAAGAAACACATGTTCAACAATGTGCACTCCAAGGGAGCGGGGAGCGGGCAGGGGCACACAGAAAGGGCAGTGAGGATGAGTGCCACATGCTCTACATTGGCAGCCCCGTTATTTTTGTAGTTAAAAAATGGAAAATTATATAAAAAGCAAAAATACCAGACATTAAACCTCAGTAAAGCTCTTCAGACAAATAAATAAGCATGGCGAGCACTAGTGTGGAGATGAAACCCCGCAGCAGGCTCCTGAGTTCACCTCAGTTGAGAACCTGGTGTGTTGCTGAGGAGCATGGGAGGTGCTCTCCTCCCATGAGAGGTGGTTTGAAAGTGCGAGTAGTCACAGCTGATGCTTTCAGAAGTGCCCCCCGAAGGATCCCTGACGGGTCTGGGGTGGAGTCGCACACCCTCATTGAGCGCCTCACACAGCCTGGTTCTTATGTTATGCTCTATGTGGTTCTGGCTGCTGGTGCATAGAACCCTGTGGTGGAGGGAGGTGTGGGACATCGGAGAAGGCCAAGAAAGGTGGTGAGCTTTGGCTGACAGAGAGCTTTGGAAGGGTAAAGGCTGGGGACAGGGTAGTAACAAAACCTTCAGTATCAGCAAGTGGTGGGGAGAGTGAATTGGATTTGCTCAGAAATCCCGAAATTCGTGATGATCAAAAGGGACCTACTGTAACAACAAAAAGAGCCCAATAATACTAAAGGCGATAGTGGTTAAGTAGAATTAGGTTTAATATGGGGCATTTGCCACAGTGAGGATTGTGCAGACTCAGGTGGGTACTAAGGGAAACAAGATTTAAAGAGCCCCCACCCCTTCCCTTCCCTATGCCAAAACCTCTACCCGGGAGGTTGTCCTCATGAAGCAAAGCAATACCTTCCCGCAGCCACTCCTGGCCTGTGCTTAGGAGATGACCTGGATTCCAAATAATTGTCAGGAGAGTAGGGATGGGTTTGGAACACTGCACCCAGTGTTGTGGGCATCCTGGTGCAGAGACCCCTTCGGGATAAGAGGTGGCTTGGATCATCTGGCTTTCCAGACAGCTTGAATCAAGGGTGTTCCTTGTCTGCCCCTGTGGACGCTCCTTTGTGGGGACACATCTGTGATGCTGCCTTCCAAGGGGCACATTCATTCATGGGGGTCATTCCTCTCTGGGTGACCTCTGTGACTTCGTGGACCCTGGGGTGCCACTGACAGGCCCTTTCTTCTCTTTCCTTTGCAGAATCCACACTGCCCAGGTCGGGGAGCAGTGGTGGCCAGCAGCCCTCAGGGATGAAGGAGGGTGTCAAGAGGTGAGCCCGAGAGCCTGCTTGCTCCCGGCACTGCGCTCCGCCTAAAAGCCTCTTTCCTCACTGGGTACCCCTCTCCTTGCCTGAAGCCCTGGAGGCTTTGTCTCACATAATTAATCTCAGTTGCATTGAAGGACAACCCTATGGTATAGGTATCACTGGTCCTAGTTTAAAGATGTAGAAACACCAAAAGGGGCATAGGGGAATTGATTGTTAATGTTCCTCATGCCCAGCAGTTTGAGAGGCCAAGGCAGGAGGGTTGCTTGAGGCCAGGAGTTTGAGACCAGCCTGGGCAACATAGCAAGACCCTGTCTCTAAAAGATAAAAAATTAGCTGGGGGTGGTGGTGTGTGCCTGTGTAGTCCCAGTTACTCGGGAGGCTGAGGTGGAAGAATCACTTGAGTTCAGGAAGCTGAGGCTGCAGGGAGCTGTGATTGCACCACTGAACTCCAGCCTTGGTGACCCTGTCTCTAAAAAAAAAAAAAAAAAAAAAAAAAAAATCATTTAAAAAAGCTAGGACTAAACAGTTGAGTGGCTGGAACTTCTGCATGTGTGTGCACATGCAGGCATGTTTTTAGAGAGATGAGGAAGTGGAGCCCTCCCAGTGCTAACTGTGGTTGTCCAGATGAACTGGCTCCAGGATGTTGGTAACTTTGTGAGCACAGGCCACGACCCCAAGAGCTGGCCACACCTCTGTCATGGGACCTGCTTCCTGTCGCCGGAGAAGTTTTAGCAAAGTGGTTAAGGCACAGAGGCCCCAGTGGAGCACAGGGTGGCATCTTGATCCTGCAACTTACTAGTTATGTGAACTTGAAATATCACTGCATCTAAGAAGGGCTAAGAAGAGTACTTCTTTAATTGGGATCTTGTCATGGTTAAATATGTTTATATATATCATGCACATGAGCACAGCACCTGGCCTACAGAGTTCTCAGTGGATGCTCACAGTAGTTGTTACTGATTGACCTCTTCAGCATCCTTGAGGAAATTGCCCTCAGTATGGTCAGAGGACCCAGTGGGTCAGCTTAGGGGGCCCAGTGTCAGCCATGGTTGGGCGTTTGCCCTCTAGTAGTTCAGCCATGTTGGGTCTGTTGCATAGCCATGGGTTAAGACCCACATTCTAAGATTTACTCTCCCTAATCGGTCTTAGCAAGAATAACTCACCTGGCCAGGTGTGGTGGCTCAATCCTGTAATCCCAGTGAATTTAGGAGGCTAAAGCAGGAGGATTGCTTGAAGTCAGGAGTTTGAGCCCAGTCTGGGCAACATAGTGAGACCCTGTCTCTACAAAAAAATTAAAAACGTTAACTGGGGGGTAGTAACACATGCCTGTAGTCCCAGCTGCTCAAGAGGCTGAGGTGGGAGGATTGCTTGAGCCCAGAAGTTGGAGTTTACAGTGAGTTATGATTGCACCACTGCACTCCAGCCTGGACCACATTGTGAGACCCAAAACCAAAAAAAAAAAAAAAAAAAAGAGGAAAAAAAGCCAACTATTAACCTGAACCCTGCTTTTTTGGTACTTTTAAACATTTTAAAAATGGTAAAGTAATGCCTGCTAATGAAAGATTTAGAAAATATACAAAGTGAAAAAATCACCCATAGACTCATCATCTCAAGACAACCACTGTTAATATTTTGGAGTATTTCATGTTCTTCTCCACCCAGTCCCCTCACCCCCCGTTTAGGGTTATTTTTTGAATGTCATAGATAATTTCATATCTTGCTATTTTCACTTAGTATTATAATGATTTGTCATTAGTTGCACCTGCTTTATAAGCAGTTTTATTGCTAAAAGCATTTATTGGTTCTCAGTTTTTAGATTCAACCTACAGACAAATGAAAGACTATTTTCTAGTGATGATGTCATAGATCATTATATGATCACACCATATTTTCTTTAGCTTGACCTTGATTTTGGGACATTTAGGTTGCTTGCATTTTTTTCACTACAATAAATAATACTGTTAAGAGCATCTCAGCACTAATAACTTTTTTATTCTCTATAGGATTATTTTACTAGGCAGAATGCCCAGAAATAGGTCAAAGGGTAGGAAGATATTCAGAATGAAGAGTTAAATGTTCAAAACAGAGGACTACTACCATCTCAAATCTTCAAGCTCTCAAGTGGAGGCAATCCGTGGATTGAGCCCCTCCCTGAGACTCTCACTGGGCATGGGGCTGCC
Organism: Homo sapiens; assembly: GCF_000001405.40. Taxonomy (NCBI): domain Eukaryota; kingdom Metazoa; phylum Chordata; class Mammalia; order Primates; family Hominidae; genus Homo; species Homo sapiens. Next base: position 126,732,808 of record NC_000003.12, read on the forward strand.
TACTTGGCCAGGTCTCCTCCTGTTCCTGAGCTGTGTTGTCTTGGCTCAGTGTCATTGTCTCCTCTTGTCTGGGGAGCTGTCACTGATGCCTGAGCTTGGGTGTGGAATGATGGGGCATGCGGTTTCACAGCACTCTCTCCTTTCCTGACCAGCCGCTGGCTGGTTTCAGCATTTCCCTGGTGGCTGAAGTGAGTGCGCAGATCTTGTCTTGGCTATGGGCTGCCCGTCATGCCATCCACATCTGTTTCTCCTCATGTTTCTTCTGCACAGGTATGAACAGGAGCATGCTGCTATCCAGGATAAGCTCTTCCAGGTGGCAAAGAGGGAAAGAGAGGCTGCCACCAAGCACTCCAAGGCATCCCTGCCCACGGGCGAAGGCAGCATCAGCCATGAGGAGCAGAAGTCAGTCCGGCTGGTGAGTGCAGATTTTCCCTGATCTGGCCTTCTGAGCTGGGCAGCACCCTGGGAAATAGGGGGCGGGCCCTGGCACCTGGTTAGTCTGAAGCCCTGCTGGCTCAGGCTGCCCCTGGGATGTGCTCGGCTTCACCTCTGTGGAAAAGGGTCTTTTGGGAGCCAGGAACTGGGGTTCTCCCAGCCCTGGCTCTGTCAGTGATTTGCTTTGCTGCCTTTGGCATGTTTTTGCAGTCTCTGTGGCCTCAGGTCTACACAGTAAGGGACCAGACCACTCAACAGTCTCACTTAGCTCTGAAACTTCACAGATGTCAGGGCTGCAGTGGTATGTGTGTCAGGAGCGTGTGAGGGCAGAGGACTAGAGGCCTGGAGCCATGTAATATATGACAGGGAGGGCATCATCTTTAGAGTTAGGCAGGTTGGGTGCAAATCCTGGACACCCTGTCTGTGAGTCTTGCTTGAAGTTCGTGATGTTTACACACAGGACTGCCCAGGGAATCAGAGGAGATAGTATTTGTCCAGGACTTAGCACATGCTGGCAGACCATGGGAGTGCACTATTGTTGTTATCATTAATACATTTAAGTGATGGGTGGCTATTAGGATCTTTTTGCTTAAGTGCAGCATTTATTTTGCAACATGAGAAGTCTCAAGTGCCCCCAGGGTTGACTAATTCAGTGGCTCACTAGCATCATCATGGACCTGGTGCTTCTCTTCCTGCCACTCTGCCATCCACAGTGTGCCAGTGCATCCTAGGCAGGCTGTCCCCATGGTTAATGAAGGCTGTTACTGCCCCACAAGTCCCATGCAGACAGTAAAACCCTCAGTAGAAGAAGAGAGGCTGTGCCGACCCTTGTGTCTCTATCACAGGGATAACTTTCCTAGAAGCTCCTGGCAGAATTCCTCTTACATCACACTGGCTTGAATTGTACCAGGTGCCCATGGCTAAGCCAGTCCTCAGCAGAGGGGATACAGAGGGCTCCACTGACTGCAGCTAGGGCTCTTTTCTAGTCACATTAGGGAGGTTGCATATCCAGCTAGAATTAGGACTGACAGCAAGGAAGTTGGGGGAGGGAAGCATGGCTGTGGGCGGCATCTAATAACATCTGCTGGAGGCCATGAGGTTTGAGACCAGGAACAGCCTTGCACTACTTTAGGTGGGTAGCCTCGTACACACGGTGCTGTGTAGAAGGGGGTTGAACACGATGTGAAAGCATCATTTGGGATTGTGCTCTCCTGGGAGGCCAGACATGCTGGCTGGGCACAGGCCTTAGCTTACTAATTTGATGACTACACAAATGTTTGAAGTGTGCAGTAGGCACATAAATGCACTTTGAACCAGGCCCTCTGGGAAATACAAACAATGTAGGATCCTAGCCCTCGGGAAGTTTTAGTCTGTGGAGAAGACAAACTAAGAACTTTGAAAAAGGCCAGATTGGTTACAGTAGTTGTTAAATTGAAGAAAAGATTTGGAAATGCAAATGTATAAGCTGCTGGTGGATCAGAGCTGGTAGATCAGAGACGGCATTAAACTCAGCCTTAAGGCTGAGGGGCAGTTGGGCTGAGAGGCAGGTGTTGAGAAGGTGATCGGATCCAGTGAGAAGAGTGAGGTTTGAAGCTGGATTTTAGAAGGCCTTGGATGTGCTGAGGAGTTAACCCTCAAAGTAGCCCGCATCGATCCTGAAACAGTCAATGGTTCCTGAAGTTTGTAAGGATGGGAGTGATGAGATCTGACTTGTGCTTTTAGAACCCCATGGCATCCTGGTGAGGAATCGGTTGATGCAGTGAGAAACCGGGGCCAGGGCATGCCTTCAGAGGCTCTTGCAGTCAGTCTCTGAGAGGCAGATGGGTTGTTACCCCTCTGCAGGCAGCCTGACAACCAAGTAAGAAGGACCCCTATCCTGGAGATGACGCGTTAATCAGTATGGCATGAGCAGGAAAAGTTGGCCTCCTCTAGAGGTGGAAGATTACAACCTACAGGTCTGCTGTCTCTTCGTTCTCACCTGGAATGTATTAATTACAGTGAAAGAATTCACAGCTTCCCATTCTTACTCCTGCAAAGGAGATTGAGCGCCGCTTTCTCAGGACTATCCCTTGGGGAAGAACTTGATTCCCATCCCCCTCAGGTCTCTAGATGGATAATAATCCCCTTTTCTGAGCCAGAATTCTTAGGGAATAGTGACATAAGTTACTTCCTTCATTTTAAAAACATTTAACTACTTTCATGGGCATTCTCATTTTCTGACTGCTCAGCGTTCATTTCTCAATGCAACTGGTGTTCCAGTTTCCTTTTGGGAGTGTTCCTGTTTCCTGCTGTGTGTAGACTTGGTGGGATTGTAATTCCTCTGTGGAAGCTGGATCTGGGCACAGTGCAAGCTTAGCCAGCTTGCACCTCATGCCTGAGGACCTTCAGTTTTGAGTGAGTATAGAGGAATGGCAGGAGGCCAGGATGGGAGTTCCTCATTGTCTCTCAGGTGTTGCAGTCAGCCCCTTCATGCTATGAGGTTATATCTTTTGCCATCTCCTACACTTTCAGGGTACCATTGGTTTCTGTCTGGTCCTCCTGCCTTCTTGAGGTTTGGATCATCCATTGATGACCTGCCAGTCAACTTTCCTTTGCTTAAGTAAGCTGAAGTTGGCTTCTATTGCTTGATGCTATT